>NC_000006.12:162040486-162192002 GCF_000001405.40 Homo sapiens | reverse complement strand
TATGTATCATGTTTAAAAACTTGGTTGGTTTGTTTATTGGTTCGTGATGCTGTCTCCTGGCAGGGATCAGGCACTCACACAGCAGATAAACCCATCAGGACATTCTTGTTGACTCACACACTGACGGGGCTGTTTCTAGCTTTACTAGCCACTGTCCTTCATGGCATAGAACAGAGCATCAAGGCATCAATTCTGTGTGCAAGGCAGGATAACAACGGACACAGCAGTGCCTGTCTCTTCTATATAAAACAGATAATTCTGGCCGGGCACGGTGGCTCACACCTGTAATCCCAGCACTTTGGGAGGCCGAGGTCGGTGGATCACTTGAAGTCAGGAGTTCGAGACGAGCCTCACCAACATGGTGAAAACCTGTCTCTACTAAAAATACAAAAATTAGCTGGCTGTGGTGGCATGTGCCTATAATCCCAGCTACTCAGGAGGCTGAGGCAGGAGAATCACTTGAACCCAGGAGGCAGAGGTTTCAGTGAGCCAAGATGGCACTATTGCACTCCAGCTTGGGTGACAGAGTGAGGCTCCGTCTCAAAAATAAATAAATACATAAAAATAAACAAAATGGAAAAAGATAATTCTTAGAAGCCTCCTAATAGGCCTCTCCTTACAGCTCATCATTTATAACTGGGCCATATGGCCAGTGATAGTAACGAAGCATGTTGAAAAGCAAGTGTTTGCCACATGGAAACAGAATTGCCATGATTGGCTTAGACCAGTCCTATTTTATCCCCTAGTCTGGGCCCATTCCATCTCCAAAAAAAATCGGATTCCTATGAGCAAGGACAGAGGGTGAGAAGCACGTTGGGTTGGCAATGATCAGCGACTATCACATTTGTAAATGCATCACCGTTTTAGCCCACTTTCCTGAACTCATCAGTTTCTTTCCTGCGTGGAAACCCTGCTGTTCTATGCCCTATTTGTATCACTTTGCCTGTACTAGACTTGGCTAGCCTTGAAACTGTTTTTGTGTGTGAAATGCTACTTTTCTCCAGTGCCTGTTTCTACACATAGATGTACCTTCCTGAGTCTCTGCAGAGTGAAACTGACATATTATCCGTTTGAGCACTGAGGAGCTTTATCAAGACTTGTGGAAGTAAAAACTACATCTGTAGGGCAGTGGGTTAATTTATGTGCTTAAGAAGCGAATGGCTCAAAAATCTCACTGGGGAAACATAAATAGAATTTAGTAGCCTTTTCTTCCTACATAGTAGATCCTTTGTTGATGCTTTATAAGAAACAAATATCTTATCTTACAGTGATAAAATGTGCGGGGCAGGGGAGTCTCCCTGAAAATACTGCTTCAGAATGAGGCAAGCCAGTACAGACCAGTACTGTGATATGAGTTTGCATTATGAATGTATGCGTGCATGCTCTTCCATCTGGGAATATCCAGCTACCTGCGTAAATGCATCAGTAAAGCCGGGTGGGAAACGGAGAGGTTAATTGACTTTACTTGGGTCACCCGGCGAGAAAGAAACCAAACTGAGAGTTTAATCTGGGGAACTTGAGCTCAGATTCTTGCTGAAAGCACTCACATTGAGTCACATTAGTTTTCTTATAAGGTTGAGGGAGAGTTGACACTTACTCTGCAGGCTTTCCCTGAAAAGAGTAAAATTCACTGGACTCTGTTTTCTAAAGTGGGGATTAAGATTCTAGAACTGGATTAGAAGTGAAACATGGAGTTTTCCCTTGCTGAAAAGAAAATGGAAGAGTATTGCGTACTGGGAAAAAGGAAATTATGAAAATTAAAAGGGAAATGCTCATAGAATATGATTTGTAAAGTGACTAGTTAGCCAAGTGGGTTTGTTGTAGGGCACGATACTCACTGATGCCAGAGTCTATGGCATGCACTGGGCATGGTCCACTTGAATCTCTGAGTATGATTAAAACCCTTCAGTCATTTGTTGGTATGATTGAACTACGGGTTCTCCCACGGCTAGTTTCAAAGAATTATATTTCTGTCTAGTGTCAGAATGACCCTATTTTTTTTAATGTGTTATGAATCTTCAGTTGTGCATACAGAATTTCATATTAATTTAGAATGCCATGCTAATAAGCGTACACTCAGAGATGGCCATAATTTAAAGCTAGCAGTAGTATCTCATGGAGAAATGAACTCTACTCCTCCCATAATGTGCTACAAACAAATGAGAACCATGCTCTTTGTCTTTGTCTCTGAATAGGATATTTTTATTTAAAGTACTTTAGGTAAAGGTCAGTATAAACCAATATGACATAATATGTCTATTGTTCAATGTTATCATAAAAATATAAACTTTGCATAAACAGAGTTCATGAAATAAATGGAGTATGACCAAAAAATTAAGTCTTGATTATTTGGGTCCCCCTGTTCTGGGCTCCCTTATTAGATTCATTTCCTTGGGGCAGGGACCATACTTTGGTGCTTAGCATAGTGCCTGCCACATAGTAGATATTTTTATTCTTATTACTATTATTATTATTTGATGTTTAAGATGTTTCATGAAGTAAATTAATGGTAGGCCAAGGTATACAATGACTATGATAATGAATGATATAATAGTCATTGTATACCTTGGCCTATCCATAATCTTAGAATAGGAATCAACTTTGCAGTCATCTAATCTCAATTCCCTCCTATAGAAGATAATTAGAATAGGAATCAACTTTGCAGTTGTCTAGTCTCAATTCCCTCCGATATAAGATACTTAGAATAGGAATCAACTTTGCAGTTGTCTAATCTCAATTCCCTCCTATAGAAGATAATTAGAATAGGAATCAACTTTGCAGTTGTCTAATCTCAATTCCCTCCTATAGAATATAATTAGAATAGGAATCAACTTTGCAGTCATCTAATCTCAATTCCCTCCTATAGAAGATAATTAGAATAGGAATCAACTTTGCAGTCGTCTAATCTCAATTCCCTCCTATAGAAGGTAATTAGAGTAGGAATCAACTCTGCAGTCGTCTAATCTCAATTCCCTCCTATAGAAGATAATTAGAATAGGAATCAACTTTGCAGTCGTCTAATCTCAATTCCCTCCTATAGAAGATAATTACTCTTACATGCTTGCTTTGTAGTCATCTGACTTTGCTAGAGCACTTTGAGTAAAGGAATAATCATTGCTTTTCACAAAACTGTTTTCATTGTTAAAGAGCTTGAGAGAAAGTTATCTGACCTAAATGTTTCCACCCATTCTTCTAGTTTTGTTATTTAAAAAAAAAAAAAAAAACGAAATCTAAGGAATGTTCCACCTGTAGGCTCTTCAAATGTTTAAAGCAGCTACAATGATTTACTTCCTAGGGCTTTCCTTCTGTATTAAACTTACGATTCAAGCATTAAAAAGGGACAGAGTATTCTCCTGCCTCAAAGAAGTTTTCTTTTCAAAGAACAGCGTTGGAGCCACGAAAGGTATGGCAAGACTATGAAAGAAGATCCTGAAATTAGAAGGTGAATGTGCTCTTAAGTAGGACCAGGAGATTGCTGTTGGGTTGTGGATAGGGCCTATGTGGACATTGATCCAGTACTGACTGTAGAGAAGGAAAAGGCAGAGTGTACACAGGGCCTTCTTTGTGGAATGATGTTGGTGTTCAGGTTGGAGAATGAAGAGGCAGGGTTGGAAATGACAATTCAGAGCGAGCAGGTGTGGCAGCCACTGTGTCAGACACTGAGCTTATCACCAGGGTTGGTCATAGTGGGACGTGTTGAGCCACTGGAAATTTCATGCCTACTGGTGATTTTTGTAAAGCAGCTCCCGGTATATCTGTATGTCTGCTGATAAAGACATACCCGAGACTGAGCAATTTACAAAAGAAAGAGGTTTATTGGATTTACAGTTCCACACGGCTGGGGAGGCCTCACACTTCTGGTGGAAGGTGAGAGGCACGAAGGAGCAAGTCATGTCTTACATGGATGGTGGCAGGCAAAAAGAGAGTTTGCAGGGAACTCCTCTTTTTAAAATGATCAGATCTCATGAGACTCATTCACTATCATGAGAACAGTGCAGGAAAAACCCACCCCCATAGTTCAAGCACCTCTCACTGGGTTCCTCTTATGACGTGGGAATTGTGGGAGTTACAATTTAAGATGAGATTTGGGTGGGGACACAGCCAAACCATATTAATGTCCAAGACAAACCTTTTGTAGCTTCAACTGCACAACCCATCACGCTGTATCTGGTGGTGGTTCCTTTTACTGAGGATTCTTTTGTCTCCTCTAAAGGAGTTTCCATGTCCTCCTGGCAGATAGCATTTTTGTTGAGGCCATGGATGCTGCTGACACATTCTTTGGTAAATGTCATGTTATATTAATAGATTTTCTCCCAGGGCCAAATGGATAACTTTAAGTTTCAATTACAGCTTTATTTCAGTACATAGTAGTGTCCAGTCTCTTGAAAACAACCAACTAAACAAATAAAAAGCTTGCCATGTACTCCTGCTGGGCCTGCATTAGGCTGGGCACTTGCTGGAGGGGTGGTGTATATTGGGGTGGGGGGCATCCTCCGTCCTTCCCCACCTTGAACTTGCTCCCCTGCACTGCCATTTTGCTCTCTTCTGTTTCTGATACCTCAGTGTTGAAGCACAATTTAGGAGCTTAGCAAGAGGGCACAGGAAAGTTCTCACTCAGCTGACACTGTCATGGGATATGTTTAAGCTGTCAAGTGTAGGAAGTGTGAAAAGCAAACTTTATCTCATTGGCTCCTGTACAAGTTGTTTAGAGGTCACCAGAGGAAATGTCTGCTTCACCTCCAAGCATATACTGATGTTCCTCCTCCGGTGATCACTTCTTTCTCAGCTGCTGGTTTTTCACTGTTATCCACCCCGATTTTCTCTGTTGGAGTCTCCTTGGTCTTCCAGGACATCTTGGGTAGAAACTAAAGTGGTTTCAGTGCAGCTCTTTTTCATTTTCCATTGGGCATTCTCATACATATTTTGTTTTAACAAACTCTGGGATCACAGACTAAACCCAATATAACTATACCAACAAAGTAGCTAGCCTTTAACATTATCAAGTGGGACTCGGGTCAGACCTGAACTCACTCTCTGTATTAGTCCTTTCTTGCCTTACTGTAAAGAAGTACCTGACACTGGGTAATTTTCAAAGAAAAGGAGTTTAATTGGCTGATGGTTCTCCAGCCTGTACAGGAAGCATAGTGGCTTATGCTTCTACAGAGACCTCAGGAAGCTTCCAGTCACCGCAGAAGGCAAAGGAGATGTGAGATGTTTTACCTGTCCAGAGTGAGGAGGAGGTGCTACGCACTTTTAAACAAACGGATCTTGTGAAAGCTCACTCACCATCCCAAGAACAGCACCAGAGGGATGGCGCTAAGCCACTCATGAGAAACTGCTCCCAGGATCCAACCACCTCCCACCATGCCCCACCTCCAACACTGGAGATTACAATTGAACATGAGATTTGGGTGGGGACACAGATCCAAATCATATCACTGTTTCTCCTTAACTCTAGAAGAGCCATATCAAGCTCTCTGAGTGGAGTCTTTCCATAGAAGCCCTTTTCTTCCACAAAGAAATCACCTTCAAACATTATCTCACCTTCAAACATTATCTCCACTCACTCCAACAAACCAATCTATAAATATGATGTTCATGAGATGTTTCAAAATAGCCCATGTTTGGAAGAAAAGGATGTACTTTCTGCTTGATTTGGCTTTGAGCCTAAAACTGCTAAAAAAAAAAAAAGTCTGTTAAAAAAATTATGTCAGTGATGTTTAGATTTGTAAATTCACATAGGCAATCAGCACCTCTTTTGGTTTATAGTATCTCTTGTATCTGGCTTTAATTGAAACCTCCAATTTAATATTCTATTACATAAGCTTTTCATGTAGAGCCTTTTACAGCTCAAAAAGTATTTTCACACACATTGTCTTTATTGATTTAATAACCATGTGAATTGGGTAAGGTTGGGAATCCTGTGACTATTTTACACCCAAGAAAACTATACAAGGTTCACAGAGAATAAGAGAATTACCAAAGGAACAGTGTGAGGTGGGCTCTCAAACCACATGTTTTGAAAAAAAAAATCTAAAGATTTTCTCCTTCTGCTACATAGCCTCTTCTCTTAACAGGGAGCTAAATATCTTTAGTTGGTACATCATTATTTTTAACACTACTTGCTCCGTAGAGTCCCTAAGGCATTTAAAATATTTTAAATGTGCAGGATCACTGTCATCCTTTTCTTCTAAGATGTTCTTATATTTTTCTTTGATTTATGTTTTGAAGGCTCCATCTTTGTTGAGGCCATGGATGCCGCTGACACATCCTTTGGTAAATGTCATGTTATAGATGTTCCAGCCATCTATTAAATTCCATCTCATGGTATCAGGATAAGAAGAGCTGAAAATTAGCTGAAATGTGGACCCTTCGTACCACAGAGCTGCTGTCATTTAGACTAAGCTGTTACTCACTAGTTTTTCCTGGAGGGAAAAAGATTTTGAAATCACTTATAATGAAGGACGCAGATAACACCGGAACCTCTTGACCTAAACTCTTGTCCTTCCTGTTGTTTTGTTTCCTTCGACAACATGAAAAACATTTAATAATGACTTTGATTACTTTATGTTTAATTTGGAGCAGGGTATTCAGCCGTAAGTTTTTGTTTCCTTTATTTGGAAACCTATGATTTTGAAGAAGGGGTGGCAGGAGAGTGAATTGGCACAAATGTTAGGTTCTATATATTACTCAAGTTTATCATTTAGTGGGGGGAAAAAGTAAGTTTACCTTGTACAGCTTGAAATTTAGTGGGCATTTATTTTCAAATGGCTATGCATTGTATTGAACTTGGAAAATTAAGATGAGTTTAGAAAAAATATCCATAACATTGGAAAATGTGCTGTGGAATACATAGTTTAGGTGAAATATGTACTAAATAATATCACAAATCTAGGAAAATGCCAGTATATATGTTCAGAAGCAGAGCCCAATACAAGTTTCATAACGATGCCACTTTTGTCTTTATTAGATGAGGCTTTCTTTGTTAAGATTAGTCAGAACAGAAGACCAAGGCAGTCAGGAGCACCCCCCCACCCTTATTTTAAGATTACAGTTTTGTGTATAAGAGTTTTGAAATAAATGCTTCATTTAGGAGACAGAAACTCGTATTGTTAAAAAGTGGAGAAAATTGGTTTACTTTAAGTTTCTCAAAGGTTTATATACCAAAACTTCTCAATATTGCCTGGCCTACTCCAAACATGCAGATTTCAGAATCTTTAAAGCACGTGTGAAATGTGCATCTTTAACTTCAGTGGGGATCAGCAAAAGGGAAGTCAAAGGAGGCTGGATGTATTAGTCCGTTCTCACGCTGCTATGAAGAAATACCGGAGACCGGGTCATAATAAAGAAAACAGGTTTGACTGACTCACAGTTCCGCATGGCTAGGGAGGTCTCAGGAAACTTACGATCATGGTGGAAGGGGAAGCAACATGTCCTTCTACACAGGGCAGCAAGAGAGAGAAGAAATGAGAACCGCACGAAGGGAGAAGCCCCTTATAAAACCATCAGATCTCATGAGAACTTAATCCCTATCATGAGACTAGCATGGGTGAAATCGCCCACATGATTCAGTTACCTCCCACCAGGTCCCTCCTGTGAAACATGGGGATTATGGGAACTAATAATTGGGTGGGGACACAGCCAAACCATATCAGCGGGGCAAGCCCAAATTTGTAAATGTTGGAAGTAATCAAGAGAAAGAGAGGACAGTGGATGTTTTTTACTTCACTAGACTCTGCCCTTTTGTGAAGCCTCCTATTATGCAATCAGTAATTTTTGCTTATTGAATATTGGATTTGATTGATTAAAAGGACAAATAAAGTACAAGATCCTGGATATGTACATTAATTAGCAAAAGTTGATACAGAGCTGTACTGTCCAATATGTCAGCCACTAGGCACATATGACTTTTTAAATTTTCATGAATTAAAATTAAAGAAAATTAAATAGTCAGATTATCAGCCACAGTGGCCACATTTCAAGGACTCACTGGGCAGTTGCAACTAGAGGCTGCTGCATTCATTGTAGTTTAGAGCATTCCTGTCAACAGAAAATTCTCTTAGATAGCACTAGTTCAGGGGATTCTCCCTGGGGCAGTCAGGTGCACCTGTTTGGATTTTTAGAACTAGTAAGTGTATTTTTCTAAAACTAGGAAGAAAGAGCTGGAAAAAAGTTACTTGGCTATTGCATAAATGGGGTGTATGGTAGGGATCGAGGGGCGGCATACTGCGGCAATTCAAGTGTTAGTAAAGTTTTATGGCTATTGAGCCCAAAGCTTAGAAATCAGACAGGCCTTGCCTTGGTCATGCAGTCAGCAGTGACAGATCAGATCTGGGACTAGGACCAAGGTTGTTAGTTTCCCAACTTATAGTTTTATCACCATATTGAATTCCTTCCAAGATGTATACTTTGGCATATAATTTTGGAACCACAAATCTTTGATTTTTATAAGACAGAGAGGCTTACAGTCTTTCCCTCCCCATACCAAGACAGGAGGGGAGGTGACTTTCTTACACAGAGAAACCTACTTCATAGGCTGCCATCTGTCAAGGACATCTCCTTCACCTTCTTATCCTCAGAGTGGGTCAGCAAGGAGACCCACCAGAAGATGATGATGGCAGGGAAACAGCTCCATGTGGCCTGTGTGAGTTCCCTGTCAGTAGCAGCTGTCTCTCAGATCCCTTTGGGCTGCAGCCTGGGTTCTGCAGCAGAAGAACTCCCAATGCCTTACATGTCTCCTTAGGACCTCATTTGTTCTCCATCCTCTTACATCTTCCCTATCTGAATAGCAGCCACCTTCCAATGCATGTGGTTCTCAATGTGAGAACACATTGGGCCTCCCGACATTTAAATGCTGAAGGTAGCACCGTGCTTCTGGACAGGAATTTATCTGCTTGAGACCACATGGTTATGGAAAATGTTATTTTGTCAATGAAATGCAAATATACATTAACCAAGTATCCTTACATTTATAGAAATTCTTTTTTATCATTATTTCTTCAAATCGGCAGAAAAGCACCAAAAAAAAGAAAAAAAGGTGTCAGAAATGACCCAATAATAATGCATTTTAGAAGTAGGTGAAAAGCAGTTTTCACAAAACTTTAGTTTACTTGAACGTTTCAAATAATACAATAGTTATTTAGTTGAAGGTTAAATTTAAGACAGTGTGACAAAGAGATACAAAATGAGCATATGCTGTTGGAAAAATGGTGCCAATAGACTTGCTCTAAGCAGGCTTGCCACAGAACATCAATTTGTAAAAAGGGCAATATCTGCAAATTACAATAAAGTAAAAGTGCAATAAAATGAGGTATGCCCACACATGTTTTAATAAGAGAAAAATTCCCGTGTACTCCTGCGAGGATCCTGGGATGAGCCCATGGGAGCTGGCTGAGTGGTAGTAACTTGCCATCCCATGTTTCAGACTGAAGTGTTAGATTTGCATGATGCTTGGGTGCCTGCACACCCTCCTGACACACAGTGATGTTTTCCCAGGTGGTTCTTCACTGTCCCATGTCAGTAGACTCCCGGTAGATCCACCCCGCCCAGTTCCATAGACAGGCTTCAGCCTGACGGCAACTACAGCTAGTGCCACTTGTCCTCAGGCTGAGACGCTTCTACGTGTAATATAAAATTCTATTATATTTTATAAGTCTGTCTTCAATATCTCTGAATACAGCATTTCTCCTCAAGTTTACACCCATTCTAAATGTAAACGCAGATTGAATCATGATTTTAAGTGTAGCGTTTGATCTCCAGGCAACATCTGTGTTTAATGACTAGAGTGTAGTGTATTTGGAACCATCAAGAAGGGACTAGTACAGCAGTAATACAGCAAATAACAGCTCCAACCCCTGTCTTTGTCCAGGGTAGAAACTGGTGGATGCAAAGTAAGTGTGTAAAAAGAACACACTTTGCATGCAGTTCCTTTCTTTCTCTACACATTATTTGTGAGATTGCAATACAAAAGAAAATACGCCAGGAACTCAGATCACTGAGAATGTTTGTACGTATTCTGGGATAATGAGTCAGTACAATATCTGACTCATTATCAAACTGAGAATGGATTTCCTGTTTTTGATAAGGTAACCAAGTTCCTCTTCCTAGATGTGTGACCTTTGGCAAGATCCTTAACCTTTCAGAACCTCTTTTCTTATTCTCAACTTCTTTCCTACCCCTAAATCTGAGTGTGTCTGTGCACTTTTCTCTTGGGCAGGGATAGTTGGAAGCTGACAAGCAATGATGGAATAAATAATCAAATGCACATAAAGCAATTTGCTTAGGACCTGATTCCCACTTAGTGATTCCTACTTATGATTCTTAGTTTCTTTCCCTGATTCTCCCCATGTTTCTCTTTGTGGTTGCTGTTGTTATTTTGTATCTCAGGTGTACCATGTTGGATTCTATGGTTCTTGTACAACACTGTATCAATATTTGTCCAAGCCTGACCCTCTTTATGCATTTATTTCTCTTTTTCTTTCTTCATTTTCTGATTACCTTCCCTTGTCCCGTTAAATTCAAAAAGCATTTAATACCTACTATGTGTGGAAATCCATGATCTGAAGTAGAAGCTGTAAGTGGTTCCAGAGCCAATATGACCATCATCCTTATTCAGCTCATGTGCAGATGTTGGTAACACCAAGCATCCACTTGTATTCTTTGGTTTCAGTACCAGAAATAGCAAAGAAATATGCAAATGGTTTGTGTGATTTATGTAATTAATCCCACTTCCCTTTCCTATGCTTGCTGGAAAGCTTAGAAACAAATAGGTGTCCTGCCTCTAGCAAGCACATGAAACTTCGGGAACTGACCTGGGACTGGAACGTCACCCCCGACTGGGTCAACATTTCCTACCCTTCTGTTCCTCGGTCAGCCCACTCCCCTCCACAGATATCTTCACTTGCTTGTATTGTTATGGGCTGTTTCACGTTCTTTCTGAATGAAACGTGGTGTAAAGGAACAAATAAGCTTACAAATGTTGCAGGGATGCATTGTGTAAACCCATTTTCACCTGAGAATGAGGCCAATCCAGTTTAAACTAGAATCATGTTATTTGGATTTTGCCTGTTCCCTGATGTCCTCTTTGGTGTCTACCATCTCTGGTCTAGCTGGGGCTGTTGTGTTGTCCAGTTAATATATGGGGATGCATTTGTGTGCCCAGTCATTGAGATACAGGAGGGAGGGGAGCCCACTGTTCCCTGTTGTATAACGCACTTGCTTGTTTGCCCCATAAAGCCAACTTGAAAGCTAATTAGGCTATGTATATATTGGTTAACTCAGTTCCCCTGCCATGAAATTTTGAAAACTACCTGATTGGAACAAAAGGAACCGACAACATATCATTCAGTCAATGTGGGGAAGGGAGAAATATGAAAAAGGAGGAGAAAAGATTCGTTTGGGATTGTCACATTATCACAGTGGACAGCTCTTAAGCTTGTCCTGTGAGCCGACAATTCTTTTTGGTGAGATTTAAATAAGGTTCTTGGTATATGTTTGAAGAGACTGTAAACACATATGTTTATAGTATATTCGAGACCTGATGACTTTCTTTTTTCATTTGTAATTTTTGTGGGTACATAGGAGGTGTTCATATTTCTGTGGTACATGATGTGTTTTGATTCAGGCATGCAATGTGAAATAAGCACAGGATGCAGAATGAGGTATCCATCCCCTCAAGCATTTTTTCTTTGAGTTACACACAATGCAATTACGCTCTTTAAGTTTAAATGTACGATTAAGTTATTATTGACTGTAGTCTCTGGTAGCTTTCAACCAAGTGAAAATGTTTAGTTGGGGAAAACAGGCTGATCATAGTAACCATCATTTCATCCTTGTCACTTCCTCAGTGCAGCTCCCAATTCACAGAGAATTACAATAAGGAAAAATCACCTCAAATATGCCTTTACAATGAATTTCACCTATCACATGTATCACAAAGGCCCCCAGCTGTGGCATGCAGCATACATTTCTAGGATGTAGACTTTGCTACACACATACACACACACACACACACACACACACACACACACACACAGTAATAAGATAACAAAAAGCACTGTCCCCTTACTACAATTTTTCTGTCAAAGGAAAAAAAAATGGGAAGAGGAGGCAAACACTAAATAGATATTTAAGTTTCACACGTTCAGGCTCTATCTGTTTGCTGCTTGGTAGTGTTTACAATGTTCAAAACCTGAGTGGAGGAGGAAGCCTTTCCCCTTGGCACATACATAAGCTCATGAATTGAGCCAGTGGCAACTCTAGGGAACTAAGTAGGTGGTGACTGACTTTGGCAGGTGATTCTTTTCTTGGTTGTTGTTGACATATAGTAAGGGGCATAAACCTTCAGTGTGCAACTTGATGCCATTCTTACCTACACACATGTATACGCTCCTCTAGACAGACTTTTAGACCTTTTCCAGAAAGTCCCCTCATGCCACCTCCAACTCAGTTACCCACATTTTTCAACTGACCAGAGGGATGGGTTCTGCAGCAGGCTGAAGGGGAAGGCCCCACAGACTGGGGTTAGAGGAAATGAGGAAACACAGCAGCTGCCGGTGGCTCTGCAGTCAGGAGAGCCATGGTGCAAACTGCAGGTTCCAAAACCAGGTGGAGCCCCGGCAGTCCATCTGCCATGGCACAGAGATGCTGGACCGTCCCCTCAGGTGGACACAGCATGGTTCGGGCTGATGATCAAAGATGAAAAACAATTGGCACAGGTTCCTAAGAAATTCGGCCAGCAGAGAAATATAGGCTCAAATAGAACATGTGTGGTATCCACAGAGCTGCAGGCCCAGTTTTCAAAATGCAATTACGACTGAAGGGAGGCCAGGCACAGTGGCTGATACCTGTAATCCCAGCACTTCGAGAGGCCGAGGCAGGAGCGTTGCTTGAAGCCAGAAGTTTGAGACCAGCCTGGGAAATAGTGAGACTCCGTCTCTACGAAAAAAATTTTAAAAATTAGCCAGGCATCAGGTGTGGTGGCACACACCTGTAGTCCCTGCTACCCAAGAGGCAAAGGTGGGAGGATCGCTCGAGGCCAGGAGTTTGAGGCTGCTGCGAGCTGTGATCGCACCACTTGCACTCAGCCTCAGTGACAGACGGAGAGCCCTTGACTCAAAACAAACAAGCAAACAAGCGAAAACACTGATGAGGAAGAGATGATGCAATTCAGTAAATCAGACACCTAGATAGAAAGCTGCTGAATCAGGGACTGAGGCTTTTACCCCAGATAGGGAAAGAAATAAACACAAACAAAACCACAAACGACACAAAACTGAGAAGACTGAGTTATCACTCATTCTTTGTGTCATAAAGCTGACCATTGCAGGATGATGTAAGTCCTTCAGAACACACAAACATGTCCACCTGCAGCACTTTGGCAGCACGTGACAATATCCTACTGATCAAAAAAATGGCCAAAATAGTCTTTAAACAAATAGCTTGGTAGTAGGTACTTGAGGGATTTAATTGACCTCCAACCTTTAAGGGAGGTAGCTCAGGTGTGTGTGTCTGGAGCACCGGAGCCATAGGCCAGGGAAAGGGGCTGGCCCCATCCTCTGGGCCTGTCAGGTTCAAATTCCCCCAGCATCAGGGCCAAGATTGCTGAGCGAACACTCCCAAACACACAAACACCAGTGTCTTAAGGGATAGGCCCATTACAATTTGCTCATTGAATTAAGCATGTCAAAAGAGACTCTTCTGCTAAAATTGATTTATCAGAAATAGAACTGTTTCTGTGAAAGTCCTCTCTGCAGTAAGGGTTTGACAATCCACAATTAACATTTTACGGATGACCCACAAAAATAATTCAGCTACAGGTTCTTTCCCAGGAGCCTAGAGGATGTAGCGACTCTATTTCTAAAAGTCCTACCTAGTGGCTTCACAGAAACTTTTTGATTTTCTGGCTAAAGAGACTCAGAGCCTGTCAGTGTTAGAGAATGCCTCCTTAGCCTACAGGGGAAAATATGATCTCCAAATAGAATCCTAATCGCATTTTTTCCTGGTGGTTAATGGTGTTTCAGAGCTTGGTAGGCATGCCACCTAGTGTTCTCCTTCAAGAGGCCTGGCCACATTCAAAGAGAAATGAAGGACACCCACACATCCGGGGGCACTGACAATGGCTTTGGGCCTGTGCTGCGGAGTGAGTTGGAGGCACGCAGCTGCAGCTTGATCTATGGCTCTTTATTTATTTTTTTAATCTGGCAGCTGCCACTGGATTCAAATGTCCCAGTGCAAAGCACTCTCTTTAATTTGTTTTCTTTATTAAATGTACAGACAAACTTCTGCCGTCTTTGTTGTATTCTTGGTGTAGTTGGAAGGCACAAAGAGAACGTGCTTTGCTTTTATTTTTTTTTTCGCTTAATTATATCAAAGTCCTTTTAAATGATAGGCATTAGTAATTGTTGTTTTTCTTTTTTTGACACACACCTGGTGGAAGCACTATGTTATTTTGATAGAATATTTTTAAATGAGAAAAATAAGTTATAGTTATACCAGTGCCTTTTAGCAATGAAATAGCTTTCAAATTAAATTTTATGTGACAAATAATGCAATGCACTCTCATTATATAACACTTAACCAATATAAAAAAGGTGAGGTAGAAACCGCTGATACAAGCATTGCTAACCATTTTAGTGAAAATCCTTTCTGATATCTCTGGCATGCATTCACACTCACACATAGAAATAAGTTTTTTCTTTTTTCTTCTGAATTTGTTTCTCTTAATCATTTATAGCCATTCTCTCAAAGGTAATTTTTATAGTTCTATTTTTAAAAATTTTTTATGACTGCATAATATTCTATGCTCTGCTGCAATGGCTTTGATTTAAACATTTGCCTATTGATTTGTTACTGATATTTCTAGATTTTGGTGTGAGTGCCTGTGCATGTGTGTGTGTGACTATATACAGCAATCCAGTGAATAGGGGTATACATATTTATATGCATTTATTTATTTTTTTGTGTGTGAGTAAAATATATGTCCTTATACTTATTTCCTTAATTTCAGGCTGTAATAATTCACACTTTTGCTTTCATTTTATGAAAGGACTCCTTTTCCCAAAAAAAAAAAAAAGGAATTTCATTGTGTTCAGAGTCTGATTAGCCAAAACAAAATATTCTTGTAACTTAAATTTTGTTTCATCTGTTTATTGAGCATTTCTCTCTGCTCCCATACATTAGGTAGGGTTTTCAAATCACAGTGTAAGCCGTATTTATGGCAGATAGTAACCTTTTCTCTACTGTGGGAGTCGCATGTATATTGTTCTAGTCTATCAGTTTCCACTGTCTGCTGTTTTTTATTTATGGTATCATCATATACAAATATTTTCATGTAGTCACCTGTCGATTATCAAGGTCTCCGAGCCTCTAGATGTCAGATGTATCTGCTATTTTTTTAGTTTACTACATTTAAAACTTTTAATTGGCCTGAAATTTCCTTTCATATGTGGTGTGATGAAGGGGCCCAAATTCATTTCTTTGAATAGATGGCCTTCTGTGACATTACCATTTATTAAATAATCCTTTCTCCCAACATATCAATATATCACCTGGCCAAAATGAAGTACCATATAGTCCTAGATTTACTTATGGGTCCTCTATTATTTGGTATTATCCACGAGACGGTGTGGCTCTTTATACTTATTTGAGTCTAGTGACTGCACAGTTCTTTCACTAGCCTAGCCTCAACCAACTTAAATTAAATTAGCCTCAACCAACTTAAAACACTAGCCTAGCCTCAACCAACTTAAATTCTACATAATTTTCTTGGCTCTTCAGGGATGTTTATTCTTTATTAGATTATTCATCTAATTCCACCCCTCTCCAAATCTTAATAGGCCCCTCTGCTGATACTTTTATAGGACTTTAAGGCTTAGTCATGTGCCCCAAGCTCCCCCTGCTTAGCAGGTAAGAGTTGAATATTTAATTGAGAGCGAAGGGTGGCAAAGATGTGTTCTAACTACCATATTGCCAGAGGATCTTTTCTACAACTAATTATAAAAGAATCCATAATCTACCTTTAAAATTAAAACATTGAGCAGATTTTCTGTCAGTGAAGGCTACATGGTGGAGAGCACTCACAGCCTGGCTTCTCAAATAGCCTTTATATGGAGAATTCATGGAGATGGGGCAGCACAGATATTTACTGAGACTGGATGTCAGACAACAGCCCTTAGACTGCAGGACATTTGCATTGCATCATCAGAGGAGCACCAGTCACTTCCTTAGGATAAACAGAAGCAGGGGTCCAAGTCTTGCTATTCCAGCAGTATGTCCCGTGGACCAGTGGCCCTACCACCCTGACACCCCACTTCTACTTTCTATATCAAGTGGTGGCCTTCAGCACTAAGCAGACAGATCCTCTGCAGCTCTGTAGGTCATATGTTACCTGTGTGCTAACCTGTACATGGGAGAAATCCACCAGTACAGCTTCTATTGCATATACCATCATGGAAGAATTTTTGACAATAGAATATGAGACTAAGTTTCTTTCGTTTGATTTGTTTTTAGCTATGATTTCCAAGACATTGTCTTATAATAATTACAAAAGGGTTGCATACTTATATCCTATAGCTATTCAGGACATCTTCATAAAGTACCTGCTATGTACCGGACCAGTGTTGTAGGTGGTGCTGGGAATATAATAGATATAAAAGGCAATAAACAAAAATCACCTTCTCCCCTGGCTCACTTTTCTTTTCTGTTCCCTTTTGTTTCTCAAACTATGTTTTAAAAAGTTACGTGATTCAAGCATTTTAATTTGGTCCAAGTCTTCCTGCTCTATGACCTCTGGGACAGCTTGCCTGGAGGGAGACTTGGAGGCTAACATCCTACCAAGGTGTATAAGACAACAAGGTGTACAAGATGTATAAGACAGCCAGAGTTGGTTTCTGCTGCTTGCAAATGTAACCGATTAATCAACTTTCAGGCTCAAGTGTAATTAAGTTTGAATTAAACTTTCTGTGAAGTCCCCCTTGTCTCTTTAGTAGAGCCTCACAGGGTGGGGAAAGACACCTCGGTAGGCTGTGTAATTTCCAAGTTATCTAAAAACTCTCAGAATTTCTCCAGCTGTAGCACAATATGGTTCTATATTTAAGATGATCCAAAATATTAGACCAGTAATTATCCTTTGATTTAACTTCAAGTGCATGCAGTTAGTATTTCTGAACTAGGAGGGACACAATGACTTTCTGTTGGGAAGATTCAATTTGTAAAACACCAATTGGATTAGGATGTGTTTCCTATGAATGGGACTAGTTGTGTGTTAAATGAACAAGAACAAAGCACAAGGGAATGAATACCTGACTAGTGGTGAAAAATAAGAAACATGCCTTGAACAAGGATATAGAATTGATTAGAAGTCTGGTGTGAAGCCAAAATAGATAGTGATTTGGATAAATGATTATATAAATTCTTGCTAACAACCCAAGATGTGTGATACCTTTAAAATACTGTGTTTCATATCATTGGAAGAATTGTATTTTAACTTCAGAGTTAAGATATATAGAAATAGAAATATGCAGGTTAAGTGAAATCAAACGTTTCAATACAAATTCCTTTGGTTCTGTGTGCACTCAGAACCAAAAAGAAGATATTTATGGGTGCATGAGTTTGTGTGGTTGAGGGGACGGCAAGGACTTGGGATTCAGCTGACTTTTATTTAGCGTGTGGGCAAATTTTATTTATTTCCTGCGTGCTGATGGAAGGGAACAAAGTGTAGAGCAGCCTCACATCAGCAAATATAAAGATACAAATTTTCTATATGTGTAAGTATTTCTTAGAAGAAAATCATTGCTTTGGACAGCCCATCACCTTTCTCAAGTGTATTTTAAAATCGTATAACTTCAGGAATTCTACCTTTAAACTGTATACAAAATGCACTTAAAAAGTGGATGCAATTTATTTGTCCAATGATTGCTCATTACATTTTATTCCTTCCTGCCCTCTCTTCCTTAACATTTACTCTAAATTACAAAGATTACGCATAGAGCAGGATATATGGTGGCTCTTGAAAACTGACATGTCAGCACAGATCTATAAACACGTCTTATTTCCAAGTACCAAGTACAGTGGACTCCATCTCATAGACTGATCGTGACGATGAGAATAGCTGACACCCAATGAACATTTGCTCCAGCCAAGCACTTTATACCCATTATCTTATTTATTCCTCACAATAACCCTATAAAGTAATATTGCAATTCCATTATAGAGATGAAGAAACTAACTGGTCCAAAGACACAGCTAGGCAGAGCCAGAATTTGAACTCTGGGAGTCATCCCCAGGAGACTATGACCCAGTTCCTTCCTTTATTGATTGGTGTAAGACAAGCATGAAGAAGAGGAAATGAGGGCATCAAATTCACACATGACTTGAAATAGTAAACAGTGTTGTAGGCCAGATTCTCCCTGAGGCCATGACAAAGCAATTTAGTGAGAAAGTCTGTTTAATTTAAAAAAAAAAAAAAAAGCTGCATCAAAATAGATACCTGAAAATGTCCAGGACGCACTCCACATGTGGCTGCTCACAAGTGTCAAAGGTCAACACCAAGGAAGGCTTCGTCAGTTTTTATGGAGTTGCCACTTTAAATCTCAAGCCACTAAAGAACAATGAATTGTCTAACACTAACTGGTGGTGAAATTCCTTGGTTTTCCATCTTGTACTCGGTGCTATAATCTAGAGTGCTGGTCCGTGGAGATGCTGACTGCACAGCAATCAGGACATGAGACGGGAGTTCTGAATCTGGGGGCAATGACTGTAGTAAGACCAGTGTACAGGCCACTAGAGGTCAGTTTCAGCTGGAAGCTGGAGGGCTGAGAGTGATCAAAGAGAGCCTTGGAAGCACAACCCAGGAGGATGGCCAATGTCCTGTTTTGATCTTGGAAAGAAAGGAACAGCAGAATGGCAGGTGCCAGGCATTGAGAAATGGGGAGGTATTCACCTCTGCCCCCCAGTTTCTCCTTCCCCATCCCCAAGCCATTCAATTCCCCAGGGTGTCTTCAGGGGCCAGGACCCCTTATCTCACCCCTAGGCTGTTTCTGTGGGTTCAGCCCCTCAGGGGGTTGCACTCTACACTCCCACACGCCCCCCTTCTTCCTCTTTCTTCTGGAGAGGAAGGCCTTGGACTCTGTGCTTATCTGCCTCTGATGGGTTAGATTTCATGGAGATACCACCGAGGCACCCATTGGCTGGTATGCCTCCATTTTTATTTTGTTCCTTTGGTTTTTCTGATTCTGAGTATAGACAGATTCATTTCCAAGAATAGGAACCTGTCACTTTTGTAAAGTACATGACAAACAGGGACTAAACCAAGGGACCAGGGAATTCAAATTGTTAATTAGAGGAGCTACATTTGTCCCAGGCATTGGTCTCTGTATTAACTCATTTAGTTCTCACCACAAACCTATGAGGTAGGTACCTTATAATCCCCATTTTGCAGGTGAAGAAATAAAGAAAGTAATCACTTGACTAGTGTTGAAGGGCATTTAACAGCCATGATTCAAACCCAGTCCATCTGTGGTAAGAGTGTGGGGTGTGGGCCGGCCTGGCTCTGCTGGATGAAGGAGTAAGGCTCAGGCAACAGGCAGCAGGCGGCTCACAGAGTGCATGCGAAACAATGGAACATCACTCTTGGCTGCAGATGAAACAGCTCAGCCACTGGGCTTCTAGGAAAATTGTCTAGTACAGGATGTGCCTCATTTCTCTTAATATCTGCCCCATCTCCCATCCCTGGGTAGCTTGGGGTCCATTTCTGCCTACTGGCTAGCCAGGGCCCCAGGCAGCACCCCGCTCCGATCTGTCATTTAGTTACTTAGAACCAGGCAGCTTAATGGCTAAGAATATGTTTTGAGAGCCTACTGCTAGCTCAGCACTCAGTTCTATCACTTACTCTGTGTCCTTAGGTGGTTTTCTTTTTTATCCTGTGCACTTCAATATCCTCAGCTATAAAACAGTAACAGGACCCACTTAATGAGGCAGGCCTCTTGGAGTTGCTGTGAGAATTAAGAATATTAGTGTATTTAAAATGCTTAGAAGAGTAGCACAAAGGAAGAGCTATGTAGTGGCAGGCTATCATCAGCATCATCAGTAATGATTTAACAAAACTCATTGAACACCTTATATGTTCCAGTCCCCAAATACAGGCAAGTCCGTATCCTCCTAGGGCTCATATATGAGGAAAATAAATGCAAAATAAGCAAGTATACACATAGGCAAATGCACCATGTAATGTAGCAATAGCCAAGTTATAAATTGTGATTATGAAGAAGATAATGGGCTGGGGTAGAGTCATGGGCCAGGGGCAGTTAGGCTGCTGGGGTCAGGTGCAGCTGGGACTTGTAGGATGAGAGGTCTGTGTTTCACATCCCCTGTGTCAGGCGTGTGCAGCCCTACGAAAGAAACTAAAAGACCCTGATTTTTTACTGAACACCACAGACCTTTCTCAGCATTGCATATATTAAATCCTTCATTGAATCCTTCAACTCTTACTGTAGATACGAGTATTTTCCCGGTTTGACAGAGGAGGAATCTGAAACGGAGCGGTGAAGAAACTTGCTTAGGGCCACTCCATCAGCCAAATCATCAGAAAAGCAGCGTTTCAACCACTCAGGCTGTCCCTCAGCTCATCACTCACACTCTTACATCTTACAGAATTGCTAGTCTAGTTTAGTTTTAGCAGTGAAATTTTTCCCACTGGAATACCATCTCCCAACTTGGGGTGGATAAATCTTAGCCTGTTTCACCTATTTCTTCTATCCTCCTCCTTCCAGTTTCTCCATGACCCTACGTTTTTTTCTGTGTGCACCATCCTCATAAGGACCTTTGGAGGTATTTCTGTTGCAATGCGTAGTTCCTGCCTGTGTATTTACCAGCCTCAGACCACCAAGAGGCAATGGTGTCTATTCAACCGCAGTATCCCAGTGGTTCTGACATCCTCAACTCTTGCAGGAAACATACTTAGTATATCATGAAAATCTCCAGTATCTAGGACAGAATCACTCATAGTGTATGTTCAATAATTTATTAGTTTGTTAATAGAATGAATGGATAGTTATTTTCATATGTAATTCTTACTGTGATTGTTTTTATTTACCTTTCTTATTAAATTTATTGAATATGAACTTTGTGGTAAATTTAACTTAAATGAGACACAAGCAATCACTTTGGTTTCTTACCTTTTAAACCACCCTGTGCAGCCCATTCGTGTACCATTTGTGGTCCTTCCTTCCTTCTTTCGGTCCTGAACTAAAGGCATGTGATAAGCACAGAAGAACTGTCACTAACGTTGTTTCCAGCATTAATCGTGACCAGCATCTAAAAATGCTTCAGAATGACCACGGAAGTAGAGGCCCAGCTAATTTCTCAGAGGTTCCAATAGTCTGTCTTCACAAATTCCTTCATCTAATATTTCAAGGATGTGTGACCTGTTATACTTTTAATGCTTTCCAAGAATGCAGTAGAATTTATTAGGGGAAAATAATATCTTTTCTAAATTGTTAATGTTATACTCTGCCTTCCTTTACTGTATTTTGTTTGGTTTTTGTTTTTGTATTTTTTTGGACAGAGAGGGATAATGTTCAAATTAAAGTAAAAAGTAGCATGTCTATTACAAAGGAAAATAAACGGAAGAAAAATGCTGCTCAAGTGAACTTCCTGCTTTTTAATTAGTGCCTGTGGGAAGAAGCTTTTCCGGAGCAATCCCATTTGTACACGGGATCTTAAAACGTTGATGTGTGAATTGCTCTCACATTTTCCACAATCTTCTTTCCCAGAGCAGATATAAATAAATAACTAATGAAAGAGTTAGGCAACAGACCCTCATCCCTCAGAAGGGTATGGAGACAGAGAGTAAGAAAGGTAAAAGTGGAAACAAAATATCTGGTAGATTCATGGGAACAGCTGTTATAGGAAACCCAGGGAGCCACTCTCCTGTACAGCAGATGAAAGCTCACACGAAAATGTATAGTGGTGAATTTCACTTTGTAATGAGGTAGGCAGTCATGCGATAAAATCATTTTCCTACTCGAGGATATTCTGTTGGATCGTCGCTTTCTTCCCCCATCACGTTTAACTGCTCTCTAGTATCAGAATGTCATCCCCACCTATTTTATTGCTATTTTCCCCCATATCCTCCTAGATACAAGGAGATGTTGTAACAATGGAGAAGCTCCTGAAACCTTTTACCTGATGTAAAATAGAAGATCAAAAGGATTCATTAATAGAAATCTTACAGGACTTTAATATTTTTTGGGAGCAAATGCAGCTGTAACGCAGTTTTAACAACTGAGTCACTAAAAGTGGCACATGCCTTAAGGCTAATGTATTAGTAGATGAACAGTTTTGGCCTACAGAGGAGATACACAATTAAAAATATTCATCCAACTCCTACACCTGCATATCGTGTGTATTTTCATCAGGGCATGCTAATCAGCTAAAACTTGTCTATGAGGTAGTGAAATAGAATATTTGCACATTTATGGTTTGTCTAAGTATTTCAGAAGTCTTATTTTTTTACATAACATGTGATAAATTTTTAAGAAAATTAATATGTGCCCTTGTAAAGTGGTAGTAACTTGAATTGTTTGACAAACGCAAACTTACTGGTGATTTATTTATGATTTATAACTGTAGAATCTTGAAACAAAATGAGAACCTTGAAATCAATTGGTCTAATTCTTTCATTAAATATCTGAAGAAACTGAAGGAAAGAAATGCTAAATGATTTACCTGAAGTCCCTCAGCTAATAAAACACGTTAGAACTGGGCTTTGGTTCTTGATTTCTGACTTTGAAGCCAGTGTTCTTTCTAGTCCAAAACCAAAATCCAAACAAGGGAATGTGACAAATAGCTTTTCTGCCTCAATCCTGTTATCACAGAGCATCATCTTCCTGATGACCTCTCATCTTACGGGAAGGAGAGCCTGAAGTCTTCAGCACAGCTCAGTTTGGACACTTGAGTGTTTGGAATCCTCTTACATATCTCACTAGTGCAGCAGGATATAAAATTTAGGAATCTGGCCGGCCAGCAAAGAACCTTCCAAGAAAACAGAAATACGTATCAGAACAATGGGTAACAATAAGCTTTTAAATTTTGTTCATTTTTATATAGCATGTCTGTGGGTGTACATATACTCTTTTGCATATAATTTTCAATTCCCTCCTATATGGAATGGTTCATGCATTTTTAATTTTCCCTGCGTCATAGATTCTGGTCACAAACCTCTGTTCCTTCTGCTACTTTTCAGTGTACAATGATTGTACGTAAGATTTATATCATCTGTAATAACATAAATAGCGATAATGGAGTATCTCGGGAGATGCTGAGGTTAGTAGCTAGTCTCCTGGATCTCTGAAATCTCACTATTGTTGACACATTTTTGCCATTTTTCTGTCACTCATTTTGTCCCCCAAATGCTGCTTTGATTTTTTTTTTTTTTTTTTTTTTTTTTGTAAAACAGATTAGAATGATGGATGAAAGCCTGGGTTTGCCTTACAAATGTCATAATTCCCCTTGGATTTTAAAACCATAGACAAGTTCCATGCATAATGCAAAGAATATTAAAAGTAAGATTTCAAGTAGCCAGTATGAACTTTAATTTAGTTCTCTTAATTACTAGTTAGGGGCCACAAGACTGAAAAAAAAAATTTGGAAAGGAAAGAAGCAATGCACTGTCTTGGATTTTGATAGGAGTACCCAACTTTAAGTGTACCTAATCATTCTTTAAGCCTGTACCTATGATAAAGCATTATCACTTGCTTCTAGAAAAACTTAGTGGTTTATGCAGCTACTCAGAGATAGGGAGAGAAAGAAATTCGTCTTACAAGGATACGCAACTTTTTTATATCAGTTCCATCAAAAATATTTTATTCTTTGATTGGTACTATAATTTGACTTATACTTCTTATAATGGCCCTTGAATTTTACTCCAAGAAGAGCAGATTGCCCCTAACCTTTGAGCAATTTTGTCTTCAAAGTCTTTCTTTTATTTTTTAATACATCTCAATAAATGTCATGTGAATTAGTGAAAAAATGACGTTTTTATTTAATGAGCCTAAAATGAAAAACTGTTATTAATATTCTTGCTTTAAAAATATTCTATATCTCATGCAAATATTCACGGCAAGACCATTGAAAATTAAATGAGGTAATGAACAGAATCAAGAAAGAACACAGTTGGTGTTTGCCTCATTAAGACCCTTTACAAACCTCAAAGTCTAGGTAGATCTCATTCCTTTAGTGCTAGTCCATGACTTTTTTTCCCCAAATTTGCACAAACACTGGTCAAATTTTTCCCATCCCTGAGGAACAATGGCTCCCATACATTTTTCATTACTTTGTGAAGTACGTCATCTTATTTGTCCTAAATTTACTTGTTTTGAAAAAAAAAAAAAAATCCCTGTTATTTCAGAATTGACAAATAATCCAAAGCTCGCTTTAGCCAAGTTACTGACTGTTTCGTGGAAATTAATTACTTTTCTCTATAATAGTCAGATCCCTCATTTTCCTTCTGTTACAATTCCTTGGATAGACTTCCTTAGTGTTTGCCAGGCAATAATAAAAACAATAGCACACTTCAATAGCATTTACCATGATCCAGCTGCTCTTTCAACATTTTGCTTAAGAGATCAAGGAAACCCAGGCAGGAGGGATTAACAAGCACACGTCAGGGCCGAGACTCCAATCCAGGCATTCCAGCTTTACCATCCATTTATGTAACAACTGACAATAGTTTTGTGATGCCAACATACAAGCTGTCAGATCTCTTACCTCTATCGCAACAGATATTTCAGAGCCTTCATTTTATATATTCAATTATTTAAAATTCTCAAAATTGTACACCTTGCATTTGACAATGCGAAAATGGAATTCTACATTTTAAATTTCCTAGAACATCACTGTAGATCCACTCATCAGCTTGGCTCCTCATTTCTGACACAGTTGGACATATGCATGCTATTCCCTATATTATCATCTTTGTTGGGTTCCTGTAAAAGCAGAACCAAAGACTCTGTTTTAGGTGCAGGTGGTTCATTTGGGAGTAATCTTGGGAAGTACATTGAGGAGTTGGGAAAGTCAGATGGAAAATAAAGCAAAGCTGACAAAGAGTGGGTAGTTGAGTTTATAGTGCAGGGGACAATTAGGGCACAGTCTCATTGGGCATCTGAGGAGCTATGGAGAATGTCTCATAGAATTGTGCTTCCAGAGAATGGGAAGCTAGAGCATCTGTCTACTAATCTCTTCATGCTGTTGGGTAAGGATTGCTTTTTGATAGAGCTCTGCAATTAACTTTTTACTCTATTTCCTTTGTTGGCTAAATATCTATCTATCCTTCTCCATCCACTTACCAATTCGTCTCATTTTTGAAGAATTTTAAAATGAGTTTTAAAGTGAGTTGGAGACATGAGTATACTTCACCTCGAAATACTTCAACATGAACACCATGACAAACAAGTTCAATACATGTTCATAGTTCAGTTTTTCAGATAGATTTTATATCCGGTGGAATGTTATGAGTTGTGGCAAAGATATAGTGGTACAGCCTCAGCCCCTGTCAGGCTGCAGAGCATTATCACCCCCCAGAGAATGATGTCATGCTCCTTCCTGGTCAGTTCCAAGCCCTCCACCCAGCAGGGGCAGAAACACTTCTGATTTTTTTTCCACCACAATTTCTGCCTTCTAAAGGGTCATATAAAGAGTCATGTGGTCTCTACTCTGGTGTAAGGCTTCTTCCATTCAGCAAAATATGTTGGCGATTTTTCCATGCTGTTGTGTGGAGCAACCGTTCATGCCTTTTATGGCTGAGAAGTATTTTTGTCTACTGTAGAGGGACACCTGGGCCGTCTCCAGGTTTTGACTCTCTTGAATAGAGCATTTATACAACAAGGTAAACATTTGTTGTGTAAACCACTTTTAAACAGATGCTTTTATTTCTCTTTTTTTTTTTTTTTTTTTTTTTTGAGATAGAGTCTCGCTCTGTTGCCCAGGCTGGAGTGCAGTGGCATGACCCTGGCTCACTGCAACCCTTGCCACCTGGGTTCAAGCAGTTCTCCTGTTTCAGCCTCCTGAGTAGCTGAGACTACAGGTGCCCACCACCACACCCGGCTAATTTTTGTATTTTAGTAGAGAAGGGGTTTCACCATGTTGGCCAGGCTGGTCTTGAACCCCTGACCTAAGGGGATCCGCCTGCCTCGGCCTCCCAAAGTGCTGAGATTACAGGCATGAGCCACCACACTCGGCCTCACTTCTCTTGAGTAAATGTCCTGCAGTGGAATTGCTGGGCTGACAGATAGTTGTGCATTAACATTTATAACAACATTGATAGCAAAAGGTCAAACCTCTGACTCTTCATGAGCATTACGGTGGCTCCGCCGCCTCGGATGCTGTCAGGCTTTCATTCTGGTGCCTGTGCACTGGCATTCCATTCAGACTCACTGACAATGTTATGTGCTTTCTTACGTGCTGGTTAGTGATTCATATTTTTCTTTTCGTGATGTCTCTTCTTGTATTTTGTTCACTTTCAAATTAGGTTCATTAGGAAATGTATATATTGTTCTGGAAGCTTTGATCTATTTATTACATATCAGTACTTTATCAGGTGTATGTTTTGGAACTATTTTCTTATAGTCTGGAGTTTGGTAATTCATTTTCTTCATATTTTTTATGAACAGATGTTTTAATTTCTAAGTTTATTACTTTTTAATGATATTGTGGTCTCTAACCTGTCAAAGAAACCTTTGCCTAATCCCAACTCATGAAATATTCTCCTATTTTTTTTTCCAGAAGCTCCATAGTTTTGGCATTCACATTTAGGTTTAGGATCCAACATATGTAAATTTTATGATAGTGTGAGGTATGGATATCTATATGGATATGCAGTTGTTACTTTTTTATTTGGATGACTATGATACATTTGTTGAAAATCAAATGACCATGTCATGTATGTGTAGGTCTATTTCTGAGCCCTAAATTCCAAATAAGCCTGTTTCTATATAAAGACAGAGTAAAGATACCATTAGTAGCAATACCCACTTAGGTTTAGACATGGTACATTTGGCAGATTTTCTAGGTTTTTTGACATAAAGATTTGGAATTTCCAGAGTAATTGTACATTCCTGGAAAATGTTTAGTTTCTAATATATGTAAAAATTAGTATTACCATTTTTTCTGGAGAAATAGGCCTCTAGTGTCCTAGTAAACTTGGTAGAAAATTTTAGATTTAGAGATGATTAAGCTTGGTGAGATCATTTTAATTTAAAAAATAAAAGAAAATTTTAGATGGCACATAGGCTTCTGATATTGTTCTGTAACTCACTAGCCTTTCTGCTATACTTCATTATAATAAATATTTCAATATAAATACAATTACTGGATTCCAAATGGTAGCAGTTCTTAGAAGTTTCTTTTGTTATATAGGAAAATTCCACAGTAACATATAGATTAGGGCATTCCCATTTGTAACAGTCACACTCTACACACAAAAAGTCCACAGATTAGGCCAGGCATGGTGGCTCACACCTGTAATCTTAGCACTTTGGGAGGCCAAGGTGGGAGGTTTGCCTGAGGTCGGCAGTTCGAGACCAACCTGGGCAACATGGTGAAACACACCGTCACTACTAAAATACAAAAAAATTAGCCGGGCATGGTAGCGCAGACCTGTAGTCCCAGCTACTCAGGAGGCTGAGGCAGGAGATGGAGATGGGGGTTGCAGAGCCGAGATAGTGCCACTGCCCTCCAGAGGACAGAGCAAGACCGTCTCCAAACAAAAGCAAACAAATAAACAAATACACAGGTTGACCACTCAAAACCTTTTTTTGCTAAATACTAATTAGCGAGTTCCTTTTCGGCCATTGTTAAATAACATTACATTTCTACTTCATTTGACTTAACATTTCAACAGCTGGTATTCCACACTTGAGCAAATGCCTCCTCTGTCTCTAGAGGGGCAGGCTTCCTCAACCTCACAAAACCTATTCATCTTTAAATGTCCTTTCACATAAATCATCTCCGCCCTCATTTTCATCTTAGTTTCACATGTGTGTATTCTTAAATGTTAGTGAGTCACCGAGCAGGGCTATTCTTCTAGAGCAGTGGGGTTGGTTTAATTAGAGGATAAGGCCTGTAGCTGCAGAGCAGGTGAACGTGGAGCCTAATTCCTGGTTGTGGGTGCAGGAGGAGACGTGCGCTGGGCACCATGAGAGATGTGGGGATCATTGCAGCATGGATATAAATGTGCAAGGCGCTCCCTCCCTTTCACTCATGTTCCCCTCTGACAGCCCTGTTGGACGGAACTTTGCTTTATAGAGGCATCACACTGCTTTATGGGACTGCTCAGGGCAGTGCAATGTGTTGTGATCCTTTTCTAGATCATTGTTCTGCTTAAAACTATTTTTTAGAAGAATGATTTCTGGCTGTTCTCATACAGTCACTGGAATTGTTGTGCTTCTTTTTCATCACTCATCGCTGGAAAGCATTACCTGTTTTTCCCCTGTTTCTGTTCTCCTCGGGCTACAAGCCAGAGCACACATTATAATCTTTTTTCTTCTTTTTACCTCCAATATTTATGAATTTTAAATGTTATTTCAGCTAAAAGAAAGCAGCATGCTATACAGATTAGAAGCTTCTATTAATACTACAGGCTTTGTAACTGGTTACACATTGCATTTGATTAATGAAAAATAGTGAGGACCAGCATTCTTTATAGATAAATGTGTTTGGCATAATTCCATAGATGCCGTTTAATAAGTGAGATGTCCTGTGATTCCTGTCCTTAACACAGACGTAAAATTGATAACCTATTCTATACAGAAACTAGCGTGGCATATACAGGAAGTTAGAGACACTGGCATCACTGTCTTAGAAGTCTAGGCATTCATAGCACTTTAAGAAATTGTTAAGAAGGTATTCAGCTTGCAAAATGATAGATTATAAATGAATAGTAATATCCCAGGGGAACTGTAGTCCTATGAGAAATTTTTCTTTTTATTTATTTATTTTTTTGAGACAGAATCTCGCTCTGTCGCCCAGGCTGGAGTACAGTGGCACGATCTCGGCTCACTGCAACCTCTGCCTCCCGGGTTCAAGTGATTCTTCTGCCTCAGCCTCCCGAGTAGCTGGGACTACAGGTGCCCACCATCACGCCCCACTGATTTTTGTATTTTTAGTAGAGATGGGGTTTCACCATATTGGCCAGGCTGGTCTCGAACTCCTTACCTTGTGATCCGCCTGCCTCGGCCTCCCAAAGTGCTGGGATTACAGGCATGAGCCACCGCACCCGGCCAGAAATTTTTCTTTAATGCAAATTGGTAAGATTTAGGGAAAATTTTTTGCATTCTTGCTTGTTTTGTGTATTTTTACTATTTGCATATGAGTTAGAAAAGTCTTATGAAGGTATTATATTGTAAATTATGTTTATCATTTAATTAGTGAATTTTTCCATACAGTTTTCTCTTGTTAATCAAAGTTTCTTGGTTACAGTAGTTCCCTCTTGTCAATGGGAGATAGGTTCCAAGATCCCCAGTGGATGCCTGAAACTTTGGGCAGTACCAAACCCAATACAAACAGTCGTGCCTCAGTGTCTGTCGGGTGGCTGGTTCCAGGACTCCTCACCGATACCAAAATCTGCTGATGCTCAAGTTCCTGATGTAAATTGGTACAGTATTTTTACATAACCTACGCATATCCTTCCGTATATTTTACATCATCTCTGGATTACCTAATACAATTTAAATGCTATGTAAGGTCAGGTGCGGTGAAATTAGCCAGGTATGGTGGCATGTGCCTGTAATCCCAGCTAGTCAGGAGGCTGAGGCAGGGAGAATTGCTTGAACCTGGGAGGTGGAGGTTGCTGTGAGCTAACATTGCACCACTGCACTCCAGCTTGGGCGACAGAGTGAGACTCTGTCTCAAAATGAATAAATAAATAAAATGCAAATAGTTTTTATACTGTGTTGGTTCTTCAACTTGTAGTTTTCAATTGTTTTATTACTTTTTTATCATTTTGTTTCTTTTGGTTGAATCTGTGGATACAGAGCACAAACTGTACTGTTTTTTCCTATACATGCATACCTATGACAAAGCTTAATTTATGAATTAGGCACGGTAAGAGATTAACAACAATAATCATAAAATAGAATAATTATAACAATATGTTGGATAATAAAAGTTATGTTAATGTGGTCTCTCTAGCAAAGTATCTTATTTTACCATACCTGCACTTCTTGTTATGTTGCGTTGATAAAATGCCTACCTGATTGGATTGAGCAAGGTGAACGGCCCAGGCATTGTGACGTAGTGTTAGGTCAGAAGGAGGATTATCTGCGTCAGGTGATTCTGGATCATCCAGCCGTGAGCATGTTCAAGTTTCAATGTCAGGAGCAGACAATGTCAATGAACAATGGCAGGCTGCAGAAACAGGGTGGATACGCCGGACAAAGATGATTCCCATCATAGGCAGGACAGAGCAAGGTGGCGTGAGATTTCATCATGCTACTCAGAGTGCTGCACACTTCCAAACTTATGTATTGCTTATTTCTGTAAATTTTTCATTTTATATTTTCAGTCCGCAATTTACTGCAGGTAACTGAAACTGTGGAAAGTAAAACCGCAGATAAGGGAGGGCTGCTATACCTCTGAGAAGATGAGATTCTGCCTGTATTAAGTGAGCATCCTTTAGTGACATACATGGCCTTCCTAGGGGGTACTGGGCTGGACACCACATCTCCTGCTCCAGTGTCCTCTTTGTACCTTCCAGAGGATTGTCTGTGACCTAGATTTCTGGGGATCGCATCCCTAGAATGCTCACGTGGTCAGCCCATGGCTGGCCTTTGTGGATAAACCTGTGAGCTTTGCTATAGATGTGCCTGATCCTAGCTAGATTTTCTCATCCAGTGTTCTTAGAACCCAAGAAAGACCCTAAGGGTTGGAGTAGTGTATCTACTCTCAAATTAGAATGCAGGGGGTGGTGGTGGTCCAGAGCCATCCTTGCCTATAGACAGGAAGGATTATGACAGTGATTTCTGCATAAGGTGCCTCTTCCTTTGACTAGTGCTTTTTATTATCTCTGCCTGATAGAAAGTCCCCTCTTTTTCTTTTTTTTTTTTTTTTTTTTTTTTTTTGAGACGGAGTCTCTCTGTGTTGCCCAGGCTGGAGTACAGTGGCGCGATCTAGGCTCACTGCAAGCTCCACCTCCCGGGTTCACGCCATTCTCCTGCCTCAGCCTCCCGAGTAGCTGGGACTACAGGAGAAAGTCCCCTCTTAAAGCACAGTTCCTTGAGTCCCAGGACAGCCATCTGATTTAGGCAGGGTTTTTGTTTGTTTGTTTGTTTTTAGGCTAATGTGGTCTTTTTTTCTCTCTCACACATGCAGACGTTTCCTTTTCTGAAAATTATTTTACTAACTTGAAAAATGGAGATCATTGCTAGCATGATTATTTTTATAGCTTTACTGAGGTATAGTTTGACACAGTGCTATAAGTGTATATGCTTTTATATATTTTGATATCTGTAAATACCTGTGAAACTATCACTGCTATCATAATGAACATGTCCAGAACCAGGAAAGTCTCCGACTGCCATTCAGCCATCCCTTCCTTTCACTCCTCTAGTCCCATCATTTGTAGGCAAACACAGCTTGGTTTTATGTCACTATAATTTGCTTTGCTAGAATTTTAATAAGCATTTTCTGAATGACTAATACTATTGACCATCAGTGATTGTTGTTATTTGCCATCCATATATTTTATTTGTTAAAATTTAGTCTGCTTGAATCTTTTGCCTGTTTTTTATTGGGTAGCTTAATTTCTTATTATTGAGTTTTGAAAAGTATTTATAGAGTCTAGATGCAAGTTCTTCATCAGATTTATAATTTTCAAATATGTTCTCTTAGTCTGTGCATGCTTGTCTTTGCATTCCCTAAACATGTCTTTCAAAGAGCAGAAGTTTTAAATTTTGATAAAGTCCAATTTATACAATGTTTCTTTTGTGGATCATTCTTTTGGTGTTACATTCAAGAAATATTTGCCTAGTTCAAGGTCACAAAAATCTTCTTGGTTTCCTTCTAGACCTTCATATTTAGGACTATGAAAAATGTTACAAGGTACAAGCCATAGATCAGATCAATTTAATTGATCCAGAGCCACTTGTTGAAAATATTGTCCATTCTCCACTGAATTACACTTACATTTTGCCAAAAATTAGCAGATTAGTATTTGTCTGTTTCTGCACTGTTTGTCCTGTTCCATTGATCTCTTCCTCTGTCCTGATGCTAATACCACACTTTCTTGATGACTGTAACTTATAATAAAACTCAAAGAAAAGTAGCAGAAGTTCTCCAACTTTGTTTTCTTTTTCAAAGTTATATTGGCTAGTTTAGGTCCTTTTTATTCCCTTATGAAATTTAGAACTTTCTTGTCAATTTCTACAAAGAAATCTGCCTTTTGAGATGTTCATTTAAATTACATTAAAACTATAGATCTGTTTGGGGAGATCTGAACAATATTGAATTTTCAGATACTTGTAAAAGACATGCTTACCATTTTATTTAGGACTTTCTGAAAATTTCTCTCAGCAGTGCTTTCTAGTTTTCAGTCTATAGGTCTTGTCCCTAAGTAGATCAGATTTTGATTGTATTGCAAATGTTATTTTTAAAATTAAATTGCCAAGTGTGTGTTGCTAATATATAGAAAAGCTTACTAAAAAAGAAAAATATGGCCAGGTCTATAAGAAACATTAAGTTCTGTTGCATCCTAGAAAAGCAATGCTCACGTATGAGTATCTGTGTGATTCTCATAGATAATTAGTCAATAGAAAACAGTATTTACGATAAGAAGATCGGCAGAATTTAATAGATAGAGATAGGCAAGGCAAAGGCCTAAAGGTAAGCAAATCACCTGGTGTTTTTGACACAGAGCCTGGTCCAGAGGGGCTCTAAGGGTGAGTGTGGGAGGACAATAGGAGGTACAAACACAAGTAAATGGGCTCTGACTAGGCTTAGGGTTAGCGTTATGTGGATGGCCCTGAATGCCAAGGTGGAGATGGGATTTAATATGGTAGTTAGTGGAAGGCTAATGAGCATTCATGAACAGGGGAGTAATGTGAACACTATAGAGCTTTAACATGGGCGCACTAGCTACAGGGGTGGAATATGGACTAGAGACTGCTCATACGAGACTCGTTTGAAGCCTATAATAGTCCCAAGTAACATGGACCACAAACCGTGTTGGATGAAGGCGGGAGGAGGAAAGAAAGGAATAGGAAGAAGGCAGAAGAGGAACAAGCAGCTGGACGCGGTGGCTTACACCTGTAATCCCAGCCCTTTGGAAGGCCAAGGCGGGCGGATCATTTCAGGCCAGGAGTTCAAGACCAGACTGGCCAACATGGTGAAACCCCGTCTCTACTAAAAATAAAAAATTAGCCAGGCGTGCTGGTGCACAAGTGTAGTCCCAGCTACTCTGGAGGATGAGGCAGGAGAATTGCTTAAACCCGGGAGGCGGAGATTGCAGTGAGCCAAGTTTGTGCCGCTGCTCTCCAGCCTGGGCGACAGAGTGGGATTCCATCTCAAAAACAAACCAAAAGAAAAAAAAAAAAAAAAACGCAAACAAACAAACAAAAAGCTTTGGTCTTTTACACTCTACAAGATAAGTAGCCTTTGTCAAAGAAGAAAGAAAGATCTGGGCAGCATGTTTTCAATATTCAGGAGCACTGTTCTGGGAGACAGAGGCTCAGCGTGTAACATTTCCTGAGGAGAAAGAAGAGAACAACCGTTGAGACAGAAAACTGAATTTATTATTTAGAACTATATGATAGATCACATCCATCACCCAAACAGAAAACCTTCCTAATGGTATTCCTTTTTAAAATTTTCATTATTTAACAGCCTTGTATTATATTTCCTATCAGTTACATAGAAAATATGCCAAAAACTTATCGCACCCTGACAATTATACTCTATTTCATGAGTTACCTTCTGATAGGTGGCTGAAAACAGCAGACTCCCAGCAAAAAAATAATCTCAAAGAAACATAGAAGGCTTTAATATGAATTCAGATATTAAATTAAGAAGTTTCAACAAAGTTGCAACAAAATGTTGAGACCAGAGGACTGAAAGTATTATTATTATGGAAGACAAGCTGTTGATAAAATACAGAGAACATTAAAACCTGAGATCCACAGTATGCATGCCTAACAAGAGTAAGGAATTCAACTTGGCTGTAGTTGGAGGGAATGAGAAGTCTTTCTGAATGTGTCTTGGGTTGGTTTTGCATTATAGTCCCAGAAATATCTAGTAAAACTGCGGTAGAGCATTTTGAAATTAATATAGTCCGCCATCTGCATTTTATCATTAGCAGATTATAAATTATCCTGAAAGAGTATAATTGAGGCCATTTAAGATGTCTTTTGAATTTCCCCTGTATTAATTGCATTTCCTTTAGAGTGCCTTTTATGTGCAGAAGCATTTTCTAAGCTCTGGTCTTGCAGTACCAGTTGCATTTTTGTCAGTACTTTTAGAGACCATCTTTCAGCTGGAGCAGCTTTTTGGCAAATTTATATTTCTAGAAAATGTAAATTGTGCTTGCTACAAATGAGGCATGAACAGAACACTTAGTAACCTTGATGAGGAAGTGAGCCATTCTCGGTGGGGGTAATCAGGAGAGTTAGAGAGCAAGAGGAGAAGGGCATGAAGGCACTACATGTGAAAATGAAACAAAGCCAGGAGCTAGCATGGAAGGGCAAAGTGCCATCCTGTCTTTTCTGTGCAGGAAGGGTTCTTGGAGCTGGAGCACAGGGTACAGGGGTGTGGTGGGGAAGAGGCAGAGGAGAAGAGAATAGACTAAAAAGAGTAGGAAGGTAATCCGAGATTAGGAAAAACAAAATACTGGCAAAATGTGGCTTGCCAGTAGTTTTTTTTTAATTAACCAGATTAAAATGTATCAAGAGGATTAAAAATATTCCTGTTAACTCAGTTCTTTATTCCACTTCTTCCATGAAGAAATAACTAGAAATGGAAAGATTGATGTATACAGGTATTCATAAAATGTGATTTGCAATGGGGAAATGCTTGAGATGACCTGAGTGCCTAACGTCAAGGGGATGCTTAGACAAATCAGGCTCCCAGATAGGGCCACATGGTCTGGAGTCTTTACAAACCCCAAATGGGTGATGTCCATCTCTGTTCCACCTGTGTGCAAAGGGGGAGAACATTGTCTGCTAATCAAGGGTGATGGTTAATATTGAGTGTCGACTTAACTGGATTGAAGGATGCAAAGTATTGTTCCTGGGTGTGTCTGTGAGGGGGTTGCCAAAAGAGATTAACTTTTAAGTCAGTGGACTAGGAGAGGTAGACTCACCCTCAATCTGGGTGGGCACAATCTAATCAGCTGCCAATGTGGCCATAATAAAGCAGCAGCAGAAAATGAAAGAGCAGGCTGGCTGAGTCTTCCGGCCTCCATCTTTCTCCCGTGCTGGATGCTTCCTGCCCTTGAACATCAGACTCCAAGTTCTTCAACTTTTGGACTCTTACATCTGTGATTTGCCAGGGGCTCTTGGGCCTTCAGCTACAGACTGAAGGCTGCACTGTCAGCTTCCCTACTTTTGAGGTTTTAGGAGTCAGACTGACTTCCTTGCTCCTCAGCTTGCAGATGGCCTATTGTGGGATTTCACCTTGTGATCGTGTGAGTCAGTTCTCCTGATAAGCTCCCCTTCATATATACATCAATCCTATTAGTTCTGTCCCTTCAGGGAACCCTGACTAACACATCAAGTAATGTTACTTTTGGACGATTGGATACAATTCCATTATTCAGTGGCCTATTCAGTGGCCTTTGACTGTCATTGGTATCCAATATTGCTGTGTTAGTTGTTTTGATTATGATGGCATAGCAAAAATATATATACAGTACATAGGGATGTAAATATTAAAATATTTTAGTCTAACCAAGGAAACATGAGATGTGGGTGAAGGCATATATTTATGACTCATTTTCCTCATTTCCACTATTCCTTCCCTGAATTTTGTCTGTTTGGAAGAAATCAAATGGTTTTAAAGAAGCAAGTTGCCCTGGGCTCCTCCATCCTTTTGCATTCTTTAGACATTGTACCTTATTCTATGCATCTTATTGAAAATGGTTTTATAATCACTTATCACGTTTTGGTTTTAGTTCCTTCTTTAGCCAAATTTGTGTTTCCCTTGACTCTTTTTTTTTTTTTTCTTAACTGAAAGTTTCTGAGCACTGAGCCAGTGTCAAGATTTACAGAATGTGGCTTTTATGATGGACTTCAAAAGTGGCTCCTTAGAATTGGATGAAGGCAAGTTTTTCTGGGCATTGAGATTAATAGTCAACATTTTAATTCTTTGAGACCATTCTGTTCTGTTCTTTTCCGCTTGATGGACTTTACTATGAATGTTCTGAGATCACTTTTATAAAACTATGATATTATGCTTGCTGTCTCTGACGCTGAAATTCAGTGTTAGTTCTGTCTGTATCTATGATATTCTGCTTGCTGTCTCTGATGTTGAAATTCAGTAGTAGTTCTGTCTGTATTCCTGGTAGTCTCATAGTGCTGCTTAAAAAGAAAATTCAACTACAATCCCAAATTCTCTGATGAGAGTAGATAGGGATTTTGATGTAATAAACTTGTATTAGACGAATCAGGATTAATTTGCCCTTGACTTACTTGATTATTTAAATTAGTTTTCACTTGATTAGCTTTTTGTAATTAAAATAGCAATATGGCAAAATATCAGATATGTGCTGACTAAGAACTGTGTAGATGCAGAAGAAAGTATTAAGAGAATGGTAAGCCACTGCCAGGGATTAACCAAATGCTGCATTTTGTTCATCTCCTAATGGGAAGTAATTTTTCAATGGAAACAGCTGAGTAAGTCATTTTGTTGTTTTTTTTTTTAGGTTTTATTTTTTTTCCATCTTTGATTTACCATAGAGTCTAGAAGTCATGTTGTGGGTGTTTTGCTGAAAAGTACATAAATTATCTTCAGAGTCCTTTTTGTGCTTTTTTTGAATTTTTTTGTTTTTTTTTTTGCATCACCTGAAATCCAGAGTTGAATTAATGTCCTTCATTTTGGTAACCTGATTTTTCAATTAAGCTATTTCCTTTTATACTGGTGAGAGAGAATATCTATCAAAGAAAGAAAATATATGTGTATCAAGTTTTCATTCATATAAAAAATAAAAATCATGGCTTCCTATTAAGAAAGAGTACATGAGTTCATAAAGAAAATATTATGAATTGTTTTGATTATTTTTACTACCTGATGCTCTTTTACTTTCTGATGCTTAAATAACAAATTATCTACCTTGTATTTCATATAACAATTATTTTAGACTGTCTAAATTTAATGGTAGTGACTAGTACCAAGGCAAATGCAGTTCAGCAGAACTAACAGATGCTGAGGATAATAACCAGACCTGGGCAAGTGCCATTTAAACACACTTCATCTCATTTCTTTTCCTTTTTTTTTTTTTTCTCCTTTTGTACTAGTGTCACTAGAGTGTAGGCCATTCAGTATTTTCTTGATCTACTAACATTTTTTATTGTAACACATCTACTTCACAAATGGTCCCCTGAGAAACCTATATTAGATTTGGGGACTGAATTGAAATGAATTTTCCATTCCTTATAACATGAAACCAAATTTTCAGGCATTTTCTTATTATTTTTTTCTCCCAGATGTTCTCAGTGTTTTTCTTGCTTACTGAGCACTCCCCTGTAATCTAGAATGGGCTTTGCTGTGCAGGGCGGTCATATGTCAGAGGGGAAATCAGACAGGAAATGCAGAGGCGATGCGGGTGTCTTCAGCAGCACTGGCTTTGACCACTGTTTTTCAGAGTGTGGTGGGAGAGAGGCTAGTTCCTCGACCTGCCCTAGGTTTCATGGCCATATAGTTAGAATGAGCTTTATGCTGATGGAGACAGGAGGCAGAGAAACTCTTGGCAGACAAGGCAGGTCCCTGGCAAAGCCCCACCTTTAAGCCAAAAAGCCTGAACCCATGGCCCAAAGTGAGAGCTTCTACCCCTGCTTACCCGCTCTCTCCCGAGTACTTCTTTCTGAATAATGTCTTTTTACCAATTGAATGCTGCCCTTTCCAAACTACTTATGGCTCGCCTCACCCCCATCCTGTGCCTATAAAGACCCCAGGCTCAGCTGGTAGAGAGGGGAAATGGCTGGACATTGGGGAGAGGTGAATTGGCTTCTGAGCCACTGCTGAATGTCATAGAGAGGCAACCTGGCCTCGGAGGAGAAAGGAAGAGAGACAACCTGACTTCGGGGGACAGTGACCTTCCCCTCCCATCCCCTTTCCAGCTCCCCCTCTGCTGAGGGCCTCTTTCATCACTCAATAAAATTGTCCGCATTAATCATCCTTCCATTTGTCTAGGTAACCTTATTCTTCCAGTGTACCAGACAAGAATTCAGGACCCAACAAGTGCGGGTACCCCAAAAGGCTGTTATAATGCCCCTTTGCCCTCACTGGCAGAGGGAAGCCACTGCACTCCATGAGGCAAAGGGCCCGCTGAACTGATAACACACTGTTGTCTGCTGACAGCAGACCTAAGAGAGCATTGTAACATGCCCTCTGAGGCCTTTGGGTCACAGTCAGCCCCACCTGGATGCTGCCACAGGGCCTACACATGATTTGCTCCTGCTGGGGCTAAAGCAGCTGACCATTTCTTGCACTCACTTCCCTACACGTTCCTTCCCGCAAGGGGTGCGCCACAGCAGGCCCAAGTGAGTAATTGGAGTTTGTTCCTGCTGGTGCCGAAGGAGCAGGCTTGTTCCTGCACTCACTTGCACGCTCCCTCCTGTGAGGGGTTTAGCATGGTGGGCTGAGTAAACGGGACAGCTCTGTCACAGGTCCTGTGAAGGGGTCAAGAAAATATCCTGCATCAATACTATTTTCTAGCCTTGAACACTTGTGATCATATTAACGTTTTAAAAGCCCTGGTAATTCAGGCATTTAAAATATCTGTTTAATTTGGTTTAATCTACTATTTTTGAACATCATCGACTTTGGAGCCCTTTTCTGCAGGTCACATTGGTGGAACTGCTTTTTTGTGGAACACATTTTGAGACAAATTAAAGCAGTGCATTTTAAACCTCTCTGACCTTGTCCCAGAGTAAGAAATAGATTTCACATCATGATCCAGCACACACATATATGTAGCTGAAACAAAGATTTCAGCAAACAATTTACTCTTTCTATGAGATACAATCTGATATTTCCTAGTTGAGTCTATATCATTTTTAAAATGCTGCTTTCTATTCATTTGTAGACCACACTCTCCTTGACAATATTGGGAAATTGGTCTTGTGTGTCCTCACCGTCACCTTGTTATTCTTCTGGGGCTGATACCACTCATATTCCTGGCAGATACCAAGTCTTCCTTCCTCCCAAGAGGATCACTTGTTATCATGAAATTTATATTGTGTTCCTGCAGTATGCATGTGGAAGAACTGTAAACTACTGTTCCTGATGCCTTGGTCATTTCAATCATTTTCACTTAATTTCAATGACCTTGATTGAGGAGATAGGGCTTACCTATAGAGAAATGATAGCGGGCCAGTTAGATGGAAGTTATGATGTGGCTGAGTGGGCCTGGTGAGCTTGAGGTAGGCTATTCAGGAAGGGTGTCATGGAGAACAGTAGTTCCACTGGTTCTAGAAGCTTGAGGTGACTTTGGATGAAAATTAGGAAGGATTTGGAAAATTTGGGAGACACACATTGTGAAATACTAGGAAACGATGTGAGCCAATCACAATAAGACCTTACTTAATCAATGAAAAGCTCCCCCAGGGTTGCTTGCATTTGGCAGGATAACGTTTTATTTCATTGGCATGCATCAGTTTGGGAAGGTAAAATCAGAGAAGAGCCTTTCTTTCCAATTCTACTGTTGAGCAGCCACAAGTTATGTCTTAGTAAAAAGTGACCTTTGTTATTAGAAGCTCATGTGGGACCCTTAATATAAAATCTGTTGTTTGTAATGGATTGCTGCTAATTTAAGGGTACATAAAGCATTATAATTATTTGATTTTTTTTGCTAAATAATGTTTTTCACAAGCACTTTCTATGTTTGTGTTTTAGTAAAATAATCAGTGTAAATTAATTATCCTGTAACTCTGGGCAGTTTATGTCTCTTACACTTTTCACCTTATAGAAAAGATTTCTTACCCTATGTGAATAAAAAAATTGATTATTACCTTATGTCCTCCGAAGATATTTTTATCTTTATAACTTTTTCACATACCCTGTCTCTCTTTCTTTTTCTTAAAGTGGGACTGGCAAGACGTGAATCAGCCAGTGTTCATTGGTTATGGTCCATGGTAGATTTTTTTCTGGAAGACTGTGTGTTTGGAAAAGGAAAATTTTCTTGTAATTCTGAAAATAGTCTCAGGCATCAAAATATCACATTATAAATCGTCACTAACTCAGTTTTCTTGTGGCTGCTCAGTTTCCTCATGAGAGATTTCTATAGGCTAGATAAGAAGAGGAAAAGATGACTATTCAACTAAACATTTTAGCTTCAACCACAAGCTATTTTAAGAAAGGGACTGGGAGGTGAAGAATTGCGAAGCTGCAAATATGTAGAAAGAGACTGGCATATGTTTAAATCATATGTTTCTAAAGTTTGACTGAGCATGAAATTTCATTTTCTAAGAAGGTGCCCTTGGGAATGGTGGAGGGAAATGCTGGTGCACCTGTTTGTCTGATGGAGCCAAACCTTGAGACAAACTCTCGGCCAGCCAGCTTGCCCATCCATGCAGTGGGAACACCCTCTGACCCACTTACGAGTGTGGAGAGCACATTCTGTTTCTTGAAAATTCAAGACAGAGGAAATTTCAGGTCATCTGCTGAATCATCTTCAGTTCTTACATTCTTCAGTATTGTGGACGGCCTCTGATTTTCTTCCCTTTTTTCTCTTCTTAATTTAGGATCGTCCCTGCTGTCTTTATTGCCTCATATAGATCTTCACTAGTGGCTTTCCTATGCTTTGCCAATTTCTCTTTTACTTTTATTAGAAACTCAATTGTATTATATAGCCCACAGTCTCAGGTGACATTTGAGCATTTTTTCATAGTATTCAACGACCATGAATTGAGGTTCAATAATTGCTTGACTCACCTCATAGGATGTGGGGTGGTGGGGGAGAATAAATAACACTGGACAGTTTCCTTAAAATAGATAAATACATCCAATTTCCTGTCTGTGTCAATATCAGAGAACCAGAGTTCCTTAAACATTTCTTCCTTTCCAGGTACCCAAACACCAAGAATATTTCACCTTGAAAAAAGCTGGCAGGGAAAGCTGTAGTTCGTTTTGCTCTTCCTTTACATCTTTTGAATGATTTAGAGGTTAATGAGCCTTTGTAAAGGCAGGACCCAAATATAATTGAGCTGGATTTATTTTTCCCCGGTGTGAGATCTGTTGCAAAATCCATACTGTGCTGCGTTTTCTGGAGTGCGTCTTTTTCAAAGTAACAGCTTTGATGTTCTTTTCACCTGAGACGAATCCTGCCAGGGGCTCTGTGCTCTAGAGCAGCCCTGCGGTAACAAAGCCTTGTGTGCGGGAGCAGAGGAAGATTCTGCCCTCAAGAAATCATTTGTACCCTCATGCTCTGGAGACAGCATATAAATCAGGAGCAGAAACAGAGAAGGCCCCCAAACTCAGACACTTTAAATTCACATCAGAAACATTTTGCCACTGTCTTCTTAGGATACATATGTCCATTACAGATTAGCCCACACTTAAGTTATTGCTGTGACCGATCCTTTTCACTGTTGTTGTCCGTCAGGTATTTTTAAAATATCCATCTGTTTCTGTATTTACTCACATATTTATTTTCTTAAAAAGACACGGCGATGGTAGTGGATGTGTTTGGTATTGGGAATATTACTACGAAATGAGGTCATTAAATTCCTATTGGCTTTTTTACTGAATTCAGGAATCTGCATGTGAAGAAGTGAGATCTGTCCAGGTGCTCTAGGTTGGGGATTTAGAGGCCTGTGACAAAATGCAGGAATGTAGAGTCTTTATACCATACAGTGCTTTCCAAGACAAAACATTCATTCATGGGGGTTTATTTATCAGGAAACTTGGATCCTGCTGCACCTCTAGAATCCTGGCCCCCTGTTCTTGCTTCATCAGTATCATTTCCTGAAGACCCTCTTTCCGTCTCTTGACTGCCTTCGCCCTTCCACGTTAGTGACACTGACGGCTGCAGTCCCTCACCATGGCACTAGACAGTTGCGCATTCCTAGCCCAAGGATCGGGTTATTTCTGCATTTCTGGCCCCTGATAGTGAAACTACCAGACCCTGGAGACTTTGGAGTCTTAGAGTGTCTGCACTCACTTTTTGGCCTCAAGACCTTCATTTTGCTCTTAACAGTACAGGATGGCAACCTTCCTGGTTTCCATCTTGACTTGATTTTACTTTGAAAAATGTACAGTCTTGGCTGGGCATGGTGGTTCGTGCCTATAATCCCTGCACTTTGGGAGGCTGGAAGAGGCGGATCATTTGAGGTCAGGAATTTGAGACCAGCCTGGCGAACACAGTGCAATCTGTCTCTACTAAAAATGCAAAACTTAACTGGGTGTGGTAGTGCACACCTGTAGTCCCAGCTACTAGGGAGGGCGAGGCATGAGAATCACTTGAACCAGGGAGGCAGAGATTGCAATGAGCAGAGATTGTGCCACTGCACTCCAGCCTGGGTGACAGAGTGAGACCCTGTCTTAAAAAAATTATGAAGAAAAAAGAAAGTAAAGTCTTATATTTTATTTTATAAATAAAATAAATCAATATTTTAAGGCCTAGCTAGCCTTCCTGGCTATTGCCTCTTCTCTAATACGACCTTGAAGGTGCAAAGTAACAATGAATTGTCCTACTGGGAGATGGTGACAGCCGCAGAAATGGTCAGACGCAGACACAGGGTTGTAGTAATATTTCACTTCTCACTACCCTATTTGTGCCAAGAAATCCATATCTTAAGTATGAATGAATGAGAAGAATCTGTTTGTCCCGTAAGTACCCCCACCCTGGCCACACATATGAGCAACCATACTTGTAAACACACTTGAACCTGCAATTGTCTAAAAAAGAATGTCAATTTTTGTCTTGTCAGAAAGTATAAAAGGAGGCTTTATTATAACTTTTCTTTCCCTTTCAATTTCTACCCATCCTTGAACTTTTTGTCTTGTATCTGAGAACTTCCTAATTTCCTGACTGCTGGCCCATCTCAGAATTCTACTGCCCAAAGCTCTTTGGCTCTTTGCAGGGAAGACTAAAAATATATTTCATATTATGGTTTTCTTTCAGGCCTTTGCTTAGATGTTATTCCTTTATTTTAGGCTTTTTTCCACATTTTAAATATGTGGTCACTGTTTGTTTGTTTGTTTGTTTGTTTCAATCTGGCTTATATCACCTTGGACTTTACTATTTTTTTGTTTTTGTGCTACCTGCATAGGACCTTTTAAGGATTGAATGAGGTAGTATATGTGAATTAGGCTACAAGTTATGCTGCTGTGACAGGGACCTCAAAATCTCCATGACTTAATCTTGATAGTTTAGTTTTCTCACTGGTGACAGAATGGTCCCCATGTTCTAAAGTCTTTTTTTTTCAAGCTCTTAGGCGTGGAAACCCAAACGCTGGTGAATTCAGAAGTCATCAGCCTTTGCAGAGCTGAATCACGAGGGTCAAACTCATCAGATAACTCTGTTTAAAAGGTGGAATACTGGTTGGTTAAAGTAGAATAAGAACCAAAACTAACAAAGGGAGAAGATACTAATGTTTACTCATCAGCACATTCTCTACTTATAGATAAATTTTTTTGGATAGCTCAATTGTTATCCAATGGTTGTTTTATAGGCACAGAATCTACAAGGCTAGTCAACTGGATTATGTTAAGCAGTGATGTTACCAGAACTATGGTGCCCTGATGTAGCTGACTGAGACAGGTCATTATAGGGTCCTCCATGCTGGTTGTCGACTTGGGGCTGAGGACATCTCTGGGTAATTTTTTCGCATAGAAATATTGCGTAATTTTTGTCTCCTTGGAATTCTCTTTTATGCTGTTCATGACTGTCTACATTACTTCTTTATTGATAAGTTATTTCTGTGGACAAGTAGAATATAATTACCTTGATTGAATGTTTTGTGGTTAAAATTATAACCCTGTAATGCCTCTGTGAGTGTCAATTTATCATAGCTGTATACGAGATGTTCACAAATGATCTCTTTGGTTATTGCTAATATCGTTTTTAAGAGTATGACTTTAAAATTGTGTTTGGAAGTACCCTTCCCTTACCTTTATATACTAACTGCACCTTAAAATGAAAAGTCCATTCAGTCTTAAAAAGTTTACTTTCTATTTTATAAAGAAAAAATATAAATCTGTAAGGTATCATGAAATCATATTTAGTAGGGTGTCCAGAATGCTGAGAAGAACTCACTAGGCTGGATCTGCTTTAAGATGATATTCACATTGTCACATTCATTGCTAATCCCTTTCCTGTGTCAGATGTCATGAGAATGTCCTGTGTTTGTTCCCTTGAGGTTGCAACATCAATACAAAATCAACTAAAGAAAGAGATTGGAAGTAGCCAACATAGACGTGGTATGATCCTGTATCTTTTTTTTTTTTTTTTTTTTTTTTCTGAGACAGAGTCTTCCTCTGTCACCCAGGGTTGAATACAGTGGCACAATCTTGGCTCACTGCAGCCTCCACCTCCCAGGTTCAAATGATTCTCCCACCTTAGCCTCCCTAGTAGTTGGGACTACAGGCATATGCCACCACGCCAGTGGGTAATTTTTGTGTTTTTAGTAGAGATGAGGTTTCACCATATTGGCCAGCCTTGTCTTGAACTCCTGGCCTCAAGTGATCCTCCCACCTCAGCCTCCCAAAGTGCTGGGATTACAGGCCTGAGCTACCGGACCCAGCCCTGCATCTTTTTAGACAAAATAAAAAAAGGCCGGGCACGGTAGCTCAGGCCTGTAATCCCAGCACTTTGGGAGGCCGAGGCCGGTGGATCACCTGAGGTCAGGAGTTTGAAACCAGCCTGACCAATACTGTGAAACCCTGTCTCTACTAAAAATACAGAAATTAGCCAGAAGTGGTGGCCCATGCCTGTAATCTCAGCTACTCGGGAGGCTGAGTCAAGAGAATCACTTGAGCCCAGGAGGAATAAAAAGAATGTAGGCCAGGTGTGGTGGCACACCTGTAACCCCAGCACTTTGGGAGGCCAAGGTGGGCGGATCACCTGAGGTCAGGAGTTCGAGACCAACCTGGCCAACATGGTGAAACCTCGTATCTACTAAAAACACAAAAATTAGCCAGGCATGATGGTGCATGCCTGTAGTCCCAGCTACTTGGGAGGCTGAGATGGGAGAATCACTTGAACCTGGGAGGTGGAACTTGCAGTGAGCTGAGATGGTGCAACTGCATTCCTGCTTGCGTGACTGAGCAAGACGGTCTCAGAAAAAAAAAATTTATATATATATAATGTGTATATATACATACGTATATATATATGTTTAGTATATCTATCTATCTATCGATATATATATATATTTACTAAACATTTATTTTTAGTTTTCTTACATGATTTCCAAAGGGAAGGTAGGTTTTGTTAACATAAAATTTACAGCACACTTGAACAAACCTGGATATTACCCCCAAAAATGCAAAAGATTATAAACTGAGTTCAGAGGTAGAGAGGCTTTGGAGTTGGATAACTAAATTGTTCAATGACATCGTCATGGGCCAGACTGTCCATCTCTAGTCTACTATCTTTAGCATATGTTTGCTGGATGGCTACGTGGGTGCTATATAGAAAAAGAGATAATCAGTTGGGAGAATAGGGTCTGGAGGCAGGGATCCTAAGGCCGTTTCACACTGACTTCCTAGAACTAAATTGAAACAAAAACCCCAACATTCCACACCTGAGTAACAAAAGGACCATAGGCTACTCCCTTTGCAAACCCCAACCTTTTCTGTGTGGCAGATGGGAAATTGAAAGTACGTTTGCATAGTAGTGTCACTTTGTATCTTCACTTCAGCCTCTGATTGGTGCTGTCTGCAACCAGTCAGACTGATTACAGGCCAAGTCTTCATTTGCATAGAAGTGCAACTTTGTAACTTTAGCCTCTGATTGGTTGCTTTTCGCCGCCCATCAGATGTTTGTTTAGGAGTATGACCTTTGTAACTTCACTTCAGCCTGATTGGTTGCTTTCTGCAGCCAAGCTGACCTGGATGCTGATTGCGGGCCAACACTGTATTTACATGAGATGTCCACCAAGTGGCCAATGGGAAACCTCTGGGGGTATTTGGACCCAAAAAGATTCTGTTATCTGGGGCCCTTGAGCTGCTGCTTCACCCACTCCCACACTGTGGAGTGTACTTTTGCTTTCAATAAATCTCTGCTTTCTTTGCTTCATTTGTTCCTTGCTTTGCTGTGCATTTGTCTAATTCTTTGTTCAAAATACCAAGAACCTGGACAACTTGCAGGCAAGACTCTCCACTAGCAACAATAATTCCCCCCAATGTGTAAATATTCCCAGGCACAGTGGGCCTGACATTATGCTTAGCACAAAATAATGAGATGGTCCTTACTTACAGGAAAAGAACAATTTCCCCAGACCACCCAAATCACCATTTGGGGAAATCCCTGTGTTTTATTCTACATATCCTTATTCTGAATGTATTGTCTTTATCTGTTTGAACACTGGTACGAACTGTTGACATCCAGGTCTTTATTAAACAGCTAAACCCTGAGAGCAACAAAATTCAAAGCTGAGAAAAGTGGGGATTGCTTGTATGTCTACACACCTAAAAGGGAAATTGAAGGTTATTTTTACCCATCATCATCAGAAGAGTTCAATTTCCGTAATAAATTGCGTTGAAGTGAATACCTTGACTACAGGAAGTCATCAGGGATTTTTCCTCTTTGGAAATTTAATCTGTGATCTCTCTTATAATTAGTGATTAAAAAGAAATGACCAATGGGAGTTCTGTGTGAAAGCCTGAATCCTTGATTAAGTTCTGGGAACTAAAAATGATGAGTTGGTGCTATGCTCCTCATCCCTTAATGTACTAGGCCTTTTACGTTCATCCTCGTCGTTTCACTCCACCGTAGCCTTAAATGTTACTAGATAAGGAGCAAATGTGGTTCTCTCACCAAGGCCTGTCAGTGTGAGACTTTCCACTGTGCCGAAGCTTTACAGTCAGGGTTAGCAACCCAAGCAAGCTGTTTGCTTTTTGCTCATGCCAAGCTAAAAATTGGTGCAATTCTCAGCAGTCAATTAGAACTACCAAAAGTTCCTGAAATCAACTATGTAAGCTGTCATTATGCCCCCTCTGCAGTGGTGAAGCTACAACCAAAGGTTGACCTGGGGGTGGGCCTGTGACCATAGGTCCTACAGTTCGTGTGCACCTACTGCAGACATTGTAGGGAAGCCAGCTCCCAGGAAGGCTCGGAGCACCATAAACCTACACCAGCTGATCTTCTGACAGCATCCTTCCACCTCGATCTCATCTGTAAGTTATGGTGAATAATCTCTGCCTCCATTCTTTCTTACAAGGGTATTATAAGAATTCATTAATGCTGAAAGTACTTTGAGCACCTCTACAAAGTGCTTTTTTGTTATCGTATCACATTTGATATCTCACCAATCTTTTGAAAGATGTGAGTCATGAATATTAAAATCCATCTTGCATATTTTATGTGTTTTTATCATGATGGGAGAATATTAATTTATTGGAGATTTGTGCTTTTCTAAAGGTTGCCTTTAAAGTTCTCTCCAAGTGCGCTTTGTTAACCTCAACCAAGTGTGCGCGGTAACAGGGTCAAGCTGGGGTAGTGAGCACCTACATTTTGAGAGAGAGCCTGTGATAGCAAGCCGCATCACCAGCCCCTTTCTTTGCCTTCTTAAGTGTCAACCACTTTTAAGCATATTACATGGAGAAGAATATGTAGATTTCTTTAAATGAGCCAGATAATTTTTATAATGTCTTATTCAATCAAATATGCCATCCGTTCTGTATGAAATTATATATTTTTGACCCTAATGACTAATAACAGTTTGATTCAGAAATATCTAATTACTCATATCTCTCTGTGACTTTTTCCCCATGAGTTCTCTGTGCCTGGAATGGCTGCAGCCCGTCGCTTCACTCCTGTCTTCTTGAATCAAATGCCTTCTCATTTTTCAAGACTCAATTCAAGCTTCATCACCTCTAAGAAACCCATGCAGACAGAATAAACACTTTTCTCCTGGGCAATCTCATTATACCCTGTGCTATTTATTACCTAATATGTGCAATGCTTTATTGCATTTAATTATTTGCATTCTTATTTTCTTCAAATGTATCTTGTTTGCCCTTGATGTTCAGTTCATATGGCTGCTCATATCAGCATGAATTGTATTCACCTGCTAGGAACAAAGTCCAAAAATTCCAGTGATTTTAAAGCTGACAGAAGTGTACATTTTTCTCTGTAGTAGAAGTCTGGTCATAGGTAGTCTAAAGCCGCCATGTATCACCACTGAGAACCAGGATCTCTGCCTCATTGCCCTTATAGTGCATGGCTATTTTCCCAAGGTCACCTCTTGGTCCAAGACATTCTATGGCACATCAGCCATCAAGTCCATAGTGCAAGCAAGAAGAAGAAAGGAGAATTGCTGATAAAGACTCGTACCAGCCAGCTTCATTCTTTGCATTTAAGGAATAATTTTAACCTTCTGCCAACATTTCATTAGCCAGAAATTAGTCAATGATACTTCTAGCTGCAAGGGAGACTTGGAAATCTAGTGTTGTGGGTGGCCATTTTACCACCTTAAATATCTCATTACTCAACAAGGAAGAAGGAGAAAAATATGTATCACCAAGACAACTAGCTAGTGGCCTCTGCCAAGGTGTTCAGTAATTCTCACATGTATAAATAAATAAAGAACATCTCCTAGAACAATTGGCCATGTATTACGTGCCAACACTGCAAATCATCTTGACCAATTCAGTCACAAAATTGGGAATTAACTGAGAAAAAGTCCAAAGGCTAATTAATTAGGTTGATTGCCTTGGTTTATAAGTAATTTTTTATTCAATTCTAGTAGCTTTCCTCAGACTAGTAGTATTTATCATTATTATTTACCTGTTTCCAATTTCCCATCTTTGTAGTAGAGATGATGATAAAATCTACCTCAAACATGGTTGTTAGCGGATAAAATGAATTAATAATGTAAAGTGCTCAGCATGGTAGGTGTTTATTAAATCTTAGCTGTTTCTTCACTAAAGCAATACTGATTCTGTTACTGTTTACTGTTTGTTTACTCTATTTTGGTCACTGTGGGCAATGCTGTACAAATATTAACTCAAATAATTTGATTATAAGTGCCTTTTGAGGTCTGTGTTGTTATCTTTATTGCATAAATAAAAAATCCAGGGGGTCAGGATGGTCATTCGGCTAGGAGACACATAGCGCTTACTATGTTCCCACCACAGTTCTAAGACCTTTATGATCATTAACTGCTTTAGTCTCCATAACAAGCCTATAATGGAGGAACGATGCTCATCTCCATTATTCAAATGAGGAAACTGAGGCAGAGAGAGTTTAACTTACTTGACCAAAGCCATACATCAAGTACCTGGCAGAGACAGGATGTGGAGCCAGGAAGTCTGACTGCCGGATGCAGGCTCTTCACCACTGGGCTGCCATCTGTGCTGCATGAGCCAGGGCTAGCATCTGGAATTCTCTGGTGCAGGTAACCCCATGACCTGGGGTTGTACATTTAGCCAGTATAATACCCCTTCTCACTATGCATTTTCATTTTTTTTCTATCCATTTCTTAATTGGCTACTCTCCTTCTCTCCTGCCTTACTGCTTTTCAGACTTATTGCAGTTTCGTATCTGAGTTTTGTGAACTAAAATCTTTTAAGCAGCTTATGCATGGATATTAATATAAGTGATCATGTGTTTACATACTCTTGGCATTTAATATGAGTCAAAATAGTAAACGGGACAGCTTACAATGGTGCATTGCAGACTATATTTATGGAAAGGTTTTGGTGATCATCTTGCCTGAGTGCGCTATTTTCAGAACAGATAACACACAAATAATCCTGGTTAGACTGACTCTCCTTTAATGCTTCTTCTCTAGGGAAAAAGGCTACTTCCATCAAATGGGACAATGGGCAGCTATTTCTTTATACCTGCTCTTCGTGTGTGTTAACTCCATGTACATAAGCTTCTTTTGCTCCCCCTACTTCCCAACAGTATATACCACTTATGCAAAGTATACTATATAGCAGTATTCTACATTTATTTGAAATCAACTGGATGCTTTTTAAGTTTCTCTATTACCAATATTGACTGCCATGGGTAATTTGCATGTATTGCCTCCAAATCAAGCATGTTTTCTTTCATTTTTATGTTGTCTTAAAATACATAATCAATAAAGCAAAATATGTTGAAATTTAAATGGTTAATTTGAATGTTAATTGAACAGTAAGACAAGTGACTGCACTTATTTGAGCTAGAATGTCTCTGAATACATTAAACTGTAGATTGCACAGTTGAAGTATTCCAAATATATTTAACTTGGTTTATCAAAACCCATTGAAAAATAAAGCATTAGGTAAATTTGATTTGATTTTGAAGGCTTAGTTATATACTTTCAAAGTTTTGAATCTTAGATACTTTTGATAATTTTTATTAAAAACCCAGAAAACTTACTTTTGAGAGAATTTTGGGGAAGTTGCATGAAAGTCAAAGTTTACAAAAACGTGAGTATGCTAGCATGTTTCATTCTGAATAGTCACTATATCATAAATAATCTTTTTTATTTTTATTTTTATTTATTTATTTATTTATTTTGGTGACAGGGTCTCACTCTGTCGCCCAGGCTGGAGTGCAGTGGCGCGATCTCGGCTCACTGCAAGCTCCGCCTCCCGGGTTCACGCCATTCTCCTGCCTCAGCCTCCGAAGTAGCTGGGACTATAAGCGCCCGCCACAACGCCTGGCTACTTTTTGTGTGTTTTTTAGTAGAGACGGGGTTTCACCGTGTTAGCCAGGATGGTCTCGATCTCCTGATGTTGTGATCTGCCCGCCTCGGCCTCCCAAAGAGCTGGGATTACAGGCGTGAGCCACTGCACCCGGCCATCATAAATAATCTTACAGTCTTCCTGTGCTACCACTTTTAAAAATTAATATAATGTAGGCTCTTGTTTCAAAAAACATGGCCTTTATAATAGTAAATATTCCTGACCCAATCCACCTGCATTAAATTGCTTTCATTTGTGGAACTGGTGAGGGCGCTCCTTTTGAACTGGTTTGAGGTCATTTGGCAACCCTCTGAGATGTGGCAATTGTCTTTCCTCCAGTGGCATTGCTTTGCTGTAAAAGGGAACAAGGAAACCAACGAAAATAACACCATTCCCCTTTGGAAGAAAGCCGGAAAAGCAGAGAGCTGGTGCCGTCTAAACCACACACACATATACACACACACATTCTCTCCCTCACAAACACACATTTGTTGTTTATTTTTCAGTTGTCACGATTGCTTTTCTTCATTGTACTGCACTGCATACCTCTGCAGCCAAACACAATTTATATTGCCAAGATAGATGCTATAAAATGAAGTTGAACATGGCAGGCATTGAAAGAGTCGTGTGTTTGCAAATGATTACCTGCCATATGTTTCTCAATTTCTTTTTTTTCTAAATTATCATGAAAAGCAAAAGGCTAGAAGGGCAATTGTGGCTCTTAGTCTTAGAAATTATAATTTTAAACAGGAAACTAAAAGGGAAGTTGGATTTTAGAGTGCGAAAACTGAATCATAATGCAATCCCCAATTGAATGTTCAGAATCATATTATCAAGGACAATGCTTTTATTCTAATAGCTAATTCTGCTGAACTGTTTTCACAGAACTATTTAGTGACTTAAAATCATTCAAATACCCAACTTTATCTCACATGCAGAGTGCCTTTTTAATAAATGAAGTCATTGGTGACATTAAGTTTCCAAAAATATAATGGACTTTCCTATATTTGGACATTTGTACTAAGTAGCATTTATTCAGTATCCTGGCAGGTTCATAATTTTTTTTTTTTTTTGAGATGGAGTCTCGCTCTGTCAGGTTCATAATGTTTAAAACAACTCAAAGTAGGCTTGCAGGCAGGCACCTTCTGTTCGTTGGAGTGGGCCATTTCAGATCAACTGGTACCTACAGATACTTCATTTTATTCCTATGTATAGGTGCGGGTCTGTTTTTATACTTTTTACTCATGTCCTCTGAGGCTGATGTACGTTTCTGCTTTATGAAACCTAATCTCTCAGTGTGAGTCCACAGCTAAGCTGAGAACAAGCTGTCATTCCCAGTGCTAGTTTTAGGCAAACTGACCACCATGGCCCATACATGGAGATGACTGTGATGCTGTGGAGAGTGCTATGGGTGTGTTTCCATCATACTGCCATGCTGATTCTCTTTACCCTGCAGTGGGCCCTTCCCACACCCGACGTCCTCATAAGCCTCTGTTCAAATTGTCTCTTCCCTGTGCCTGTATTCGTCTTTCTGTGTCACGTCACTTGTTAGTGGATTTTTCCATTCTTTGTATATTTCCACAGTTGTCCGCTCTTCAAGGGAAGGCTTTATATTTTTGTAGATACTTATTCTAAAAATTTTCACCCAATTTTAATCTACAAGGACTTAAGATGGTGATAGGTTAATTAAGGCGTGTTAGTGTAGATGCCAAGGAAACACCATTGTTGATGCCAAAGGCATTAAGAGCCTCCTTTGGTTTCTGCCACCATCCCCTAAAATAGTGACAGCAAAATGTACAATATATGCATGAATACAACTCCATTTTTCAGTATTGTGTCAAATTGAGTTTCATTACTTTAAACTTCTTTTTAAGGAGGTAATGGCCCATCTCTGGGTATCAAGGAAGGACTGAAGGCATCGATCATGTCTTCCATCATTCTTAGCCCCCACTCTTGCTTTCTCTTAGTTACCTTCCAACTTCTAAAAATTCTCAAGCTTTGCTTTATCTCCCCTTGTTATTTCCTTGCTTGGATGGGCAGCACCAATTTCTCCTGTGTTGGACCACTTGGTATTGCTTCATAGGTCACTGATACTCTGGCCCTATTTTCTTGGTGAGATGAGTTATGAATGGGTTCTCTTGCTATTTCTTCACATTCACTGCCTTTTTCCCTTCTGCATTATCTAATCAATTGTTAATCTCTCTAGTGTATCTTTATTGAAAATATGGTATTTTTTTCTCTCCATATATTACATTTGAGACTTTCAACACTCACTTTTCTCCTCATCATGATCCTCTTTCCCTCTACTTCCTTGGACATATGGAGCATGTTTGTAATAGTAGCTAAATATTCTTGACTATGAATTTCATTATCTCTGTCATTTCTGGATCTTTTTTAATTGATTGATTTTTCTCCTGGTTGTGGTTCCTATTTTTATGTTTCTTTGCACGATTCATAGTGATTTACTAGATTCCAGACATTGTACATTAGGTGGTGGATTTTGTAGCATTCTGTTTAAAAAAAGTTTGTCTTTATGCAGGCAACAGTTGAGCTAGTCGACATCAATTCCTTTTGAGACTTGCTTTTATGCTTTGCTGGGGCATCCAGAAGAGCCATAATGCTATGGGTAATTTAGCCCCACCATGATGACAGTAGTCTTCTGGCAACTCTACCAGATGCCTCAAGTACCATAAGGTCTCTCCACTCTGTCTGGTGGGAATGCAAAATATCCCACCTCCGTGTGAGCTTTGAGAATTGTTAACCCCATGCATGTACGGAAAAATAATATTCAGCCAGAGATTCAAGGTAGTCTATCCGCAAATTTCCAGAACTCTCTCTGTGCAAGTCACTTCTTTTAGGTATTGTGTCCTGAAAATTCTAGTTTCCTTAACCTCCCTAAACTTCGATTTGTGGTTCCCCAGTTCACCGAGACTTCTAGGCTTTGTTTGGTGTCTCCCTTCCTCTGCTATAGCTAACAAGGCCAAATCTTTGTAGGTTTCCTTCACGTCGGGATCACAGTCCCGCATTACCTCAGTCCAATCATATGTATTTTATATATATAACTTCTATATATCCACTATGGTTTGAATGTTTGTCCCTTCCAAAACTCATGTTGAAATTTAATTGCCATTGTAACAGTGTGAAGAGATGGGACCTTTAAGAGGCGATAAGCCATCGGGGCTCTGCCCTCATGAGTGGATTCATGTCCTAGAGTAAGTTTGTTATCTCAGGAGTGGACCCATTATGAAAGGGCAAGTTCAGCCCCCTTTGCTCTCTCTTGCCATTCTGCCATGTGATGCATTTCACTATGTCATGACACAACACAAAGACCTTGCCAGATGCCAGCACCTTGATACTGGACCTCCCAGTCCCCAGAGCTGTGAGCCAATACATTTCTGTTCCTAATTTACCCAGTGTCAGGAGTTCTGTTATAGCAGCACAAAACAGACTGAGACAGTCAGAAAACAGTTGTTTCTCTATTTTTCTAGCTGCTTATAGTGTGAGAGAAATTAGCAAAGCAGATAACCCTTAAAGTGAAGAACTAGGTGTCTCAGGTAGTTTTAGGTACCTCACCTGCTTCCTGTAATCTCTACAGACATTTGCTTAAATATATACTAATATTGCCTCCATTTTATAAATAAGGACACTGACCCCAAGAAAGTTTGAGTAGCTGGTAAATAGCAAGTCATGATTTCAGTCCAGACTTGTTTGATTTCTAAGCCTGTGCAACACAATAATATTCTTTTATATTCCCAGCCAGACCTCCAAATTAATTGGAAATAAAATCATTTATTTTAAAAAGTAACCCACTTGAAGCTGAAGGCTTTTAATAAATGATTCTTTGATAGTCATGTTACTATATTTTTCTTAGAATAGATTGAGTGTTTCTTTTAGAGTCTCATTAAAAATGAGGTACTTATAAGATAAATCCTTTTTCTATACATTTTCACACATTCCTCTTTATACATCTGCCCACTTCATAAATAAAATTATATTTAATTATTTTTAAATATTTTTATACTTACAAAGTAAATATTTTAATAAATGTGGATAAATAAATAAAATTCCTTTATTTTGGAGTTATCTGTGTTGTTACATGAAGTGGCCTCCTCTACATTTCCCTTTCAGGCAACTGACAATAAACAATAAGCAGAGGCCCTAGCTTTGTTACTTGGAATTGATCCGCTGAAGTAATGAGTACATAAATGACTCAGACTTTTCCACTCAAGTTTCCTGTAGTTAAAGTGAAAATCAGCAATTCAGCTGATCACAGTGATGATGCTGAAAACAAAGGCTACCATTTAATGAACACTTGCCAAATATCATCCCATGTCATTTTCTCAACAATCCAAGGAGGCATAGACCCCATTTTAAGAAATGAGGCAACTTATGCCTAGGAAATTAAATTAACTTACTCCAAATTACATACCTGGTAAATTCTAGATTCCAAATTTAAACCCATAACTGATGGCTTGGAAGCCAACACATATCGCTTAGCAGTGTATTATTTGCACCTAGTAAATAAATGAGGTGACATTTACACAAGGCAGAATTCAGAACCTAAGGCTTACTTGGGCTGATTCAAAAAGAATTAAAATACTTGCATATGTATTACTGAGTAGCTAAGTTATATTCAAACAGCTGAAATGCATCAAATCGTTGAGTTCTCCTTAAGTGAATCCTACTAAAGGGGAAGAAGTTTTTCCTGGATGTTCCTTTTCCTGTTCCTGTGTGAGATATGCATGTATATATGAACACACAATATATATAAAATTATACCTATACAATTTCTATATTATAGAAATTCTGTAGATTATCTACAATTTATAAAAATATATTTATTTATATATATTTATATATACATAAATACATTATGTTTTAACAGAAATTTAGAAAGTAGAACATGTTTCTTTCCTAAAATATATGTACAATGTATTCTGGGGGACTCAGGGCTGAGGGTGAACTCCAGTTGAGGGACTCAGCAAGGCTTCAGTGAGAAAATCCATCTGACTTGGGCTTTTGAATAAAGACTGTATTTTGAGCGCTTTTGTAGAATGTAAATATATTACTTAGTTCATCCTAATATGACTTTTATTTTGTTCTTTAAATAAAGTGGTTTGCAATCCCAAGGAGTCCCTTACTTTTGTGATCAGAAATGATCAGTAATGTCAGAAAAGGAGACTGAAAATGGCCCCTCCCCTCCCCCATTCCTTCAGCCTTTCACCTTTCACCTTTCACCTTCTACCTTCTCTGACCAGCCCATTGCAAAGACCCTCTCATCTGCAGATCCACAGTCAGCTACACACACTGTCACTGACGTGGAGACAAGAGTCAGGGCAAGGAGACAGATGGCCTCAGCACTCCAGCAGACTTTGTGAAGTGATGATTTCAACTCTGATTTAAAATTTTGAGCCTCAGTGTATTATCAAAAAGCACTTTTTCTCTTTCTGTTGCCTCAGTCAGTCTGTAGGTATAAATAAATGTCAGCTTAATAGGTGAATGAAGTATGCACCTTCCAACCCACTGAAGAGCTAGGATCTAATTTACTGTTGTTCTAATTTCTCAGATTCCATATTCAATGACTTCTTTTAAAATTTCAGTTAGGACAACTAATCGGGAATAAAAGTAAAAATGTTTTCTGTGCCTTTAATCGCGGTGTTTTAGCTAGTCCTGGTGGCTCAAACCTGTAATCTCAGCACTTTGGGAGGCTGAGACAGGAAGATCTCTTGAGCCTAGGGGTTAGAGACTACAGTGAGCTATGATCAGGCCACTGCACTCCAGCCTGGGAGACAGGGGAAGACCCAGTCTGTAAAAGCCAAACAACAACAACAAAACTAATATTTTATTATTCCCTAAAAATAGTATATTTTGTGAATTAGACAGAATTTCTTTATGTAAAAGGTGATGCTACTGATATGCCATCAGTAAGGTGGGATGCTCTGTGTTATTCCCAGTTGTAGTGATAGGTTTTGTTATAACATGTATATTTCTTATTAAAAGTACTAGGAACAATTGGCTTGTCATAGTTTCAGTATGAACAGTTTCGATTAAACCTTGGGATTTTTTCTCGTGTAAAAATAGCTCTATTGTAATAATGGACTCTAATCTTTAGTTTTCAACAGTGCTAGCATAGGGTCATTATTGTAATTACTTACCAGAAGAATGAGCTGACATCCACTCTTTCTTTTTGGCACTCTCTGCCTCCATCAAAACCTTTTTCCAATCAATTCTCCATGCTGCTGTCAACCTTTCTTTTCACCTATGGCTTTGATCTCAGAGTAGCTTTCACTCTAAAGAGAAGCAGGTCCAAATCCTCACTCTTTGCTTCAAAGCCTTTAACTAGATCATCCAAAATTTTTCAACTTTCTTCTGCCTTCATTTATTCCTACTCAGACATTCTAGTTAAATAAATTCCATGTCCTTGAAGTGTCTGGGCCCATTCACTTCACTCTCCCTTCTGAAACTTCTCCTGGCCACCTCCCTAGCTCTGAAATGTTCTGCACATGTATCTGGCGAATATTTGATGTTCTCTTCCATCAGTAACTTATAAAACAAGCAAACAACCAAATAAACAAACAAAACAAAGGAAAGCAAGGTTTTTCAACTAATAAGAGATTTGGAGATTTTTCCTTTAACCCAAAGTCTGGTGCTATCTTGCTTCCCAGATGTGAGTTAAAAAATGATTTTATTGACATTGTAAATGTACTCTGGTGGTGACATTGTATATGTACTCAAGCTTCCACTGTAGTGTTCAGTTGAGCTGGAATTCCTTCTCAGCTCCACCAGTTCCCATGCTGTCTTGGACCATGTGTCTCCCTTGCAAATCCATTTTCTCATCCCTAAAATAGTGATAACACCTACCATATAGAGTTTTGTAAATATTTAATAAGAGGACGTATACTGGGTAATTCATTCGTATCAGACAGAATCTTGTTGTAGCATCTCCCAAGTTACATTATTTCGTAAATAACCTTCCATATTTCTTCACACTTACCATCTACTACCCAAATTCTCTCTTTCTTTTTCTACTAAAAATGCCTCAAAAAATATCTAGGCTCAGCATCTCTCCATGCTCACCTCCCACTCTAGCCTGTCATTTCCTCCTACCACTCTTCAAAACGACTCCAAGAATCCTCACATCCCCAAATGACATGGTCATTTTCTTTCATGACTTCTGGGACATCAGAGTCCGCCGAATGCACACCGGCCACATGGGCCACTTCTCTTTGGCTGCCCTGACGACTCTTCCTCATCTTCCCAGCAACCCAAGAACTGAGCACCCATATCTCATTTTAAAACTCTTCTCTATTATTATACCTTTTAAATTATTGTCATTCGTGCCCATGGCTTTCTGTGATATTATACATGGATGACTACAAAATTGATATTTCCAGCCCTATTTCTCTCCCTTTCTCCATCCTTGTATATTCAGCTACCCATTGGATAGTAGGATGGGGAACTAGCATCTCAAATATTACATGTCCCAAATAGAACTCTAAATACTTCCTGCCAAACCTGCCCTTCCCTGAAGAGACCATTACCCCAGAGCACAGCACCACTGCTCTCTCAGTTGCTAAGGACAAATATCTTCAAGTCCTATCTGACTCCTGTCTTTCTTATACAGGCCCCCATCTAATCCATCAGCAGCGTTGCTGACGCTACCTCCAGCTAGACCTTGAATCCGATCACTTCACAGATCCCTCACTTCTATTCTCTTGTTCAAACACCATCATCCCTCATGGTGCCTCCAGGCAGCAGCCTCCTGCCCAGTCCTATTCCTATCAGTCTTCAATGTCTAGAATGTTCTCAGCTGATTCTCACACAGCAGCCAGAGTGATCCTTCTAACATTTTTCAGACACAAACCATCTGCCTGCCCATCACATTCACAGTAAAACCCTAAGTCCACTGTGCCCATGGGACTGTCCTGATGTGATTGTGGCCATCTCTCCAAGCACATGTTCTGCTGCCCCGACAATGGCCACGGTGCTGTGGCCAAATGAGCTTCTAGACTGTTCACTCAGTATCGTTACTGAGCTCCTGCATCAGGACCTTTGTACATTCTGTTCTTTCTGCCTGGAAGGCGTTCATTCCTTTAAATCTCAGCTCTAAGCCGTCTCCTCTAAGATGGTTTCTCTGCCCACCCTCTTATAACCCGCCATCCCACCGCTCTGCTTGATTTTTGTCCACAGCACTTATCAGAGTAGATTTCAGAGATAGAGATGCCCTGGAGTCCTGGCCCTGTTGCCTTCAACTTTGAACTGTCCTTTACCCCTGACACCAGACCCTGCCTCCCCATTTCCACTTCAGGTGGTCACCACCTCTTATTGGAATAATTAATAGATGTCATACTGGTCTCTTCTGTGCTAGTTACAACGTCGTTATTATTCCAGTACATTTCAACAGTGATGATTGCATTTGAACCTCACAAACACCCCGTTAGATAAGATAGTTATTATGTCCATCGTGTAGATTGAAATATTCCTTCTCAGACAAGATACTGCATATACCCAAGGTCATGCTAATTATTAGGAGGAGACTCTGAATGCAGAGTATTCTATTGTGTGCCTTGCTGCCTCTGGTATGGCCTGTCCGTGGTCGAGGTGAAGCTCTGGCCATTTCATTCCTCACATTTTTATTCAGCAGGTAGCATATGTCAGGCACTGTAAAAACAATGAGGGTTTCTTAAATAGAGCCCAGCCGTCATGACCCAGAGTATGAATCTGCAATCCAACACCAATCTGCCTTTTCACGACTACTTCCCAAAGTTTCACATCAGTCACTTCTCAGCAGAATTTGTTACCTTCAGAAATGTTTGTTCCCACTGCATATGATGTTCTTTCTCCTCTCTGTGTCCACTCCTTCCCATCTTCAGGGGTCAACTCAAACCTCATTCTTCGGTAACAAAACCCAGCTCTATGTAATGCTTTATCCTATGAGCTGTCATGGCATGTTATCTGTAAGTGATCAGTTAACCATCACCACACGTCGGCGGTGTTGGTGTGCAAGTCCACACTCCATGCCCAGCCCGTGATGTCCTTGAAGGCACAGACCATGACTGAAGCACTTGCCAACCCCACCCCATATAGGATCCTATAGATTGTAGACTCTACCTTTACATTTGCTGAAGAAATGGATGATGAATAAACATTTTTAAATGTTCTCTTTTCTTTAAGTCTTTATTAGAAGATTGGCAGTGCAAAAAATCTTACATTTTTGTATCTGAAATATATGAAGTATCTTTGGAAAAATTTAAGGCTTGTTTCTAAGGCTCAGCATATATTTACACCTACTGGCTTTTTAAAATTAAAATAATCATTTTCTCCTCCAGGTACCAAGAAAGTAGCTCAAGGGATTGCAGAATCTAAAGACACAGAAAAAGATTTATAGATACATTATTTCATTCCTGGATCTTATTTCAGCTGTTATCCAAATAGCTTCATTAATTCAGTCCCAAACCCCTTCCACATCTATAGCAGTCCTAGGGGAAATCGAGTTACTAATATAAACTAAGATAACAAATGTTGCTTTTCATCATTGGCTGATTTTTATAGAAACCTGGAAATGTGTGCTATGAAAACAATGTGAAAAGAGAGAACATTATACAACTAAAATTCATTTGGCCATTATTGCATTACTGTGTATTCTGGTTGGTATTTTAGATGTTATTTGCCCTGTGAAAAGTTTCTCACTTGAAGCTGCTGTTCCTCAGGCTCCTGTTTAGAGGGTGTCATCATGTGATCTCCTAAAATTTCTGTGTATATAATGCCTAGCATCTGATGCATTCTCAGTCAGTCATTATTAAGCTGAATCTGCAAGTAGTTCATGACCAAGGCTGTCATGGTGGTGGGAATTGCCTCATCATTAATGAATGCCATGAAGCTGTGATTTTCAGGGAAAGGAAGGATTTTGAAATAGAAATGATTGTGAATGAAATATAAATTTTAAGAAAAGTATTTTGAACTCGGGCATCGTAGAGCAAAAGGGAGGGTTGAGCTGTTAAGATTATCTAAATGATAAACATTTCAGCATTGTTGTCCTTGTCATTATATCATCTATTTGGTGAGGATCCATTTTTTACCAGACACTAGATACTTTTCATATTATTCTTTATCTAATCCTGTGACAAAAATATTATTTATCTCCATTTTACAGATAAGAAAATTTAAGTTTAGGAAGAAATAAATGTCCTTGTATCACACAGCAAGTGAGTGGTAAACCTAGAAGTGAGACTCTTCCTGGCTGCAAAATATAAATTGCATTCAGTATGTATCATACATAGCTTCCTGTATGATGGATAGTCACCATAGATGTAGCAGTGCATTGATTTCCTACTGCTACTATCTAGGTTGGGATCCATGTCCCCAGAGAGAGTGCTATTCTAAATATTTATCAACTGGTTGTTCCTGGGCACCTCCCAATGTGAATGCACACTACAGCCAATCAAAATGGACCCTGGCCATATTTTACTGGCATTCGAGCCATTCTGATGCACATTGATTTAACATCAGACCTGGACCTGCTCTGTAAACCTTGAAATGCATGCAAAATTACGTGTCCGTGTGTGTGTGTGTGTATACAGTTGTTACCCGTGAAGAGGTTTGATTTTATTGGGTTATCACTGAGATTTTTGACCTCTAAAAATAGAAACCTTCTGTTGTGTGATAGATGAAATGAATGGGTTTGACTAAAACAAGATATTTCTATTTAAGAAGCAGTATCAAGACAAAAAAGGATTTCTGAGGTGAGAGGCATTTGTGGGCATTCGAAAGGTGTTTGTGGGGCAGTGGGGCAGAAGAGAAGTGAGGACAGGCTGCAGAGTGGTAGATTCCTGTATTTGGGGGCCAGAAAGATCATTCTTCGTTTGGTAGGGTCTGTACAATAAGATGGAGCCTTGTGTTGGAGAGCTGTTTTGTTCTTTATTATTTTTCCAAAGCTAATTGAGAAGCAAGCTTCATTCTCTACTCCTCAATTCTAAAGCCTCTGAGACTGTAAGGCTCATTTTTTTCTTACTTTAATTAGTACATATTATTTCCTATTTTCGTATATTTTTAACTTCTATAATCTAGCTGTTTTTTCCTCAGTGTAAACACTCTACAGGGGAAAATTTGTTTCTCAGATGTTGTAAAAATAGTTTTGGACTTACTGTATATATTTACTCTATAATTTAAGAAGTAGGCCATTATATATCATTTCAAATAATATTTATAAAACATTATAAATAACCTTATGCAGTTCTGTGAATCAGTCCTCACATCAGGAAAAGTATTTTATAGTAAAGTGTTAAATATTTGAAAATGAAATTAGTATATTTAACTTTATTTTATAAAATTAGAATGCTCCACCCTCTAATGAAGTGGCATATTCACACTCTGTTTGGTACATTGAGGAACGTTCCAAGTTTTTCTTATTTAGCATCCTTGTTTGTTTACCATTTTCCTTGCATGCTGACTAAGGAATATATAGCTCTAGAAAAAAATTTACAGCACTTATTCCATGCATGTTTCTCCTTGCTTCTGGCCATATTAGTTCTGCCTCATCTATGTTAGTAGCAGCAAAATGTTAAGCTGATAAAATGCTTCCACAAAGATGACATTTTATACCAGTTGCAAACACTTATTTATATTTGAATCTTTATTTAATTAAAGCTGTATTCATGTTACTTTCTCTAATATTTCCCAGAATTTGTAGATGCCAACAAAATGTTATCTATTGTAAATAAAATTAAAGCTCATTTAAGAAACCTAAGGTATATTAATGATGATGAAGTACTTAATATAAAGCTACCCAGTAAATTCTGATAAAATCTGATCAGGAATTTTTGCTCTTGAGAATTTTTGTAGCCTGTGGTTTCACATTCATTAGGATCATAAAACCCTTTGATCAGTCCCTATATGATGTTATCCTTTAGATGATTCTCAAAATGTTGGTTGAGTGTACATTTTAAAGCATTCATTTACCATTTAAGTGAATTAGGGCTTGTTAGTCACCTCAGACTGCTAATAAAAGAATGTCACAAATTGGGTGGCTTAGAAACAGCAGCAATTCTTTCTCAAAGTTCTGGAGGCTGGAACTTCAAGATCAAGGTGTCCAGCAGATTAGGTGTCTTCTGAGGAGTTTCTCATAGATGGGCACCTTCTTTATGCAACCTCTTATGGTGGAAGAGGCGAGGCAGCTCTCTGGGGCCTCTTTTATAAGGGCCCTAATCCCATCCATGAGGGCTCTGCCCTTGTGACCTAATCACTTCCCAAAGGCCCCCACCCTTAATGCTATCACATTGGGGATTAGGTTTCCATATATAAATTTTGGGAGGTATACATACATTCAGAAAATAACAGGGCCCAAGACAACTTTTCTTATCAGGATACTTGTAGTATAAATGCACTACTGAAAAGATAATGTGGACTTGCTTTCTCTCCTATAGTAAGGTGTGAGATTGTACAGTCGGCTGGTGCTATGGCTTACAGATGCTGTCTACGTTTGGCCTCTTTCCCATCTCTCTCACTTTTTGCCACATACTATGATCTAGATGTTGTTCTTCTACCATAAAAATCCAATGCTTTGATGCATTATCTGTAGTCAAATATATATAGTGTATCTTCAGGCTGTATGACCCCTTAAAAACACAAATATATGCAAAACAGGTAAAGGAACCCCTTTAGTGATTTACTATGATGACTTTTTACCATCCACTTCACACTTTCATTTACTAATTTGACATCTACATATTTTCTGTTATGTGATAGGCATTGAGTAAGGTACTGGCAATGCTGTTGTGAACAGAAGAGACATGGCTCTTGCCCTCAGGAGGCCCACACTCTAGCACTGAAGACATTCAGTAGTTACTGCAGTAAAGCTGAGGGAAGGAAAGCAGAAAGTTCTGGAGGAAATAAGCATAAGGGAGCCCAGTGGAGTTTTTTGGCAATAAGAAGTCTCACTGAGGATGTGACCTCTCAGTTGAGTAAACATTCTTAACAAGAGAAGTAGGGCTGAAGTAGAAGAGTTGTATCATGCAGAAGAAATAGTGTGAAGAGGTGAGGAGTACAGAGCTCTCATACTGCCATAGCTGGAGTCCCGCAAGTGAAGGGATGAATACCTACTGGATTTTCATTGTATATTTTAATTGTGTATTTATAAGTATGCCAGTAAAGATACCTCTCAAGGATTATGGGATTCATAAGGCTCCATAGGGATGGAACAATCAAAGGATTCTTTTAATTTGCCTTTTTATGTAGTGAAGTATTTTAAAATTACAATGTGTTATTCAAAGTAATGGGCAGTTTTTATAATTTCTAGGAAAAGTTTTGAAGGCAGATTTTCCCTATGACTCAACGATGCACATTTTATTACAATGTTTCTTTTCTCATTTGATTCCTCAGTTTTTTCACCGCAACTCTTTCTATGGCTATACTTGGCCATTGATTCCTGGGATGTGAAATTATGGTATAAGGTACTCACTTATTTCACTACTTCTAGAGAAACATAGCAAAGAAGAGAAATAATGTTATTTTAGTATGCCTACTGATTTTTGAACCTTTGGGTCTTTAAGTTTCCTTTGGTTTGCATTTTTAACTCATCTTTCTCACTCTTTAGCTCCTTTTTGCTAGACAGCAATGAAAAGCATTATATTTGGAAAGCAAAAGTTGAGTTGGTAGACTAGCACCTTTTGAGTAACAGGCTTTTCATGTTGTGTCTGGGAGAAAAGTCATTTGGCATTGAGTGCATTAGGCAGGTAGTCACAGCGGCAGCGTGCCTTGCCTTTGCAACTTGGTACGAACATTGTATAATTGATTTTGTTACAAAGTTCACCAAGATTATCTGACAGTTATTTCAATATATTTCTTGAAATCCTTCTGGCTTTGAATAAGTATCCATTTTATTGGTTTAGAAATCAATAATGTAAAAAGGAAAAGAACTGGGAGCTTGTAATTGAATGTGACACTACATTGGTGCAGATAATATCTGTTCTGGATTTCAGTTATTAAACATGTTATGTCACAGTATGTACTGGAAGCAATCTACATTTAACTGAATAAATGCAAAGTGCAGTTCAGTGAGAGAACATGGGAAAGTGTAAAATGTAACATGAGGAAAATATTAAACAAGGGAATGCTCATACTTCCTAGGGAAAAGCAAACAAACAAACAAACAAACAAACAGGAAAATGAATTAGAGTAAAAGAGGAGACTGTTGGTTGAACAGACACTGGGGCATAGAAGAGAGATATTTCTTGATAGATCCAGAGAAATTCTAATTTTAACTCAAGGTGGACCAAGAGTAGCTGCAAAAGCTCAGGAGAAATAAACATTTGGTAGCTGGTCTGCAGGAGGATTAAATGTGGTTTGGAGCCTAGAGGAGAGGAGGGGCTCCTCACAATGAGAAACCTTGCTAAAAATGGACATTTATTTAATTTGTCAATGAGAAAACTTGTGAAAATGTGTGACTTTGCTATTCCAAAATGAACCATGGCAACAATGACCACATAATTTGACCTTTTCCTAAATAACGATAAACTAAGTGAAGAAGGGTTGTTAAATCAATCGAAACCAATTAAGCCAGTTTTAGGCAGCCACGGTTAAAGGATAAGTAACAATCCTTGAGGGCTTTAGAAAAACAAATTTCAGTATATTAATGCATCATCTATTTCATGAGTTCAGAAATGACCAGGTACCACTGGCTAAGCCCTGATAGCACGTCCACATGCAGAACTCTGTGTTTAGTGCTGCTTCCCATTGGGAATGAGAATGAGAACTCTGTGTCTCGGTCTTTGTTTCTGCAGTGATAAGCATGCATATAGCACAGCCATTGTTTCTTCCTTTATCTCCCACTGTGCTTTTTCACAGTGTTAAAACAGTTAATAGGCACCCAAAAATATTATTATGTTGCTCAAATTTGCAACCATGTATCATATATGGAGTTGATCTGTTAGACATCATAATCTACAGAAGCCCTGCTTCTGTGGCTGCTAATTTTTAGGTGAAGCTGTTTCTGGCAATGAAACATCATCCATATCTAATAGATCTGACGATCTTCGTAGCAGGTAATATCTCTGACAGTTCTCTACCCGTTTTAAATACAGCAATTCACCCTCCAACTGTAACGGAGTCACAAACCTAGACAAGACATGTCTTAGCCATCAAACAGCCATTTACACCTTCATTCAACAAATACTTATTGAGTACCTGCCATGTATCATCTTTAAATGTGAGTTGTGCCTCTGTTTGAAAATTGCCACCAGCTCTACCAGGTTCAATAATTGACCCTTTTATGACTTTGGCCATGGTACGTTACCAGAAATAGAAGATGTGTTGCACAGTGACTATTTGTTTGTGTATAAGTGACGGGTTGTGAGTAGTTGGGTGGGTAAAGACAAGAAAATAGGTATGGGATCTTTTCCCTAGATTTCCACAGGGGTAATCGTGTTCTAACCCTTTCTTCTAATCCTCCCTAGAATTCCTGAAACTGAAACAGTGTTTTATGTCTTTCAGCTCAAGTCTTTTGTAGGGAAAAAAATATTGTCCCTAATAAAGGAAGACATGATGATAATATTTACATGTTGCAATCAAATAGAACAAAGTTCTGCGCCAGTGAAGAACTCAAAGGAAAATAAAAGATCAAAAGCAGCGCCTCCTTGAGAATGTAAGGGGGGCTGTGTTTCTCCCTCTGAGGTGTGGTGCCGCCCGTGGACTCACATGCAGTTATTCGTGGAGCTCCGGGGCTGGATTCTGAAGCATGTGGAGACAGTCCCTATGGGCTGTATTTAGGGATGTGCTACACGATGTTGGCAGCGTTTTTCCCGTTTCTATGTTTGCTAACTGTTAGTGTCATTCTTATTAAATCAGAACTGAGGACTACGTGTCACATTCCCACAGGACAGCTGGCAGGTTGGAAGGTGGCATTTGAGAGAATTCCTCACTTTCTATAATAATCGTACTTGATGCCGGCAGAGCTTCCTATGCAAGCATTTGGCACCACTGACCCTGACTTCCTCTCCAGGCTCCCACTTTCTAAGACTTCCCTGACTTCTTTGACACTTGACTGAGGGATTTCATTCCTTCTTAGTCATTCTTCCATGACTAACCCTGATTAATTGTTCTGGCTGACTTGCCATGCTCCTCAGCACCCGAAACATGGATGGTCCCGAAGGTTACTTCTTGGCGTCTGCCTTTTCCTTCTCAAAACTCTCCTATCCAGCTGTCTTATACTCCCTCAGAGTGAAATAGACTTATCTGCAGATTCTCCTCAAGTCTTTATTTTTAATCCCGTGGCATTTTCTTGGATGTTAGACAGTTCTCACTTGCTTGTGAAAATGTTCATCTTTATGCTCCCCAGACACCTCAAATTCAATGTCTCCCAGCCACACCCACAACCTCAACGTTCATACTCCATTCACCCAGCCACAGAGCCTGCGGTTATCTTTGATTTTCTCCCTTTTCAATTGCATTTCAAATCAGATTCCAGCTCAATGGGCTTTTCTTGCTTAATGTCTGCTGTTATTCATCCCTGGCTTAGGCTCTTTACAACTTTGTACTTAATGTAGTGTAGTGAACTCCCAACCTCACTGATTAAAACCCTGCTCTGTCCCTTTCCCAGCGAGGGAAAGACAGATCCCACTGGTTTTTTGCAGAGGAAATTTTAAGTAGAGAATTCATTACACAGAGTTAGAAAACTGAAAAGCAAAAATGAAATATTAAGGGAATTGAGACATGCTAACAGTAAGAAGCTCCCACCAGCCCTGGTGTTGGTGAAAGGAAGTGGAAGAGAGTAGGTTTGTCAGAATCTGAAAGCTCACAGATGGGACTTTTCTCGGAGCTGGGTTTGGATCATCAAAATGGCATGATGAGGCTAGTTCTCCTTGCTTAAAACTAACTAGAGGCTGGAAACAACAGCTGGTGCTTGGACTAAGTGCTGCTTCTGGGAGAAGCAATTGTTGCTCGGGTTGTGTGCTGCTGCCAGAGTGATACTTACAGGGCAATCAACTCAACAGGAAGAAGAAAAGCCCCTTCTCCCTTCCTCTTGTTTTCCAGTCTCCCTCTAGTGCCTCCTCTCGGTATAGTCTAACAAGAAACTAGCTGTTAAGAGTTTTGAGTAATTTAATGTCAAAACATTAGAGAATAGAATACAAATGGAGGGTTTTGATGTTAGAAACAATAGTTAAGTAATTCATATTGACCAACCCTTTGGGTCCACACTGACCATATCTTTTCAGAACATATACTGCTTTGCACATACTCAAACTTCCTTTTCATAACAGTAAATACTCCATGGGTATACCTAATAAAAAATAACTATTCGTTCAAACACTCTCTTGGCCTCTCCTGAGCAATGGAAGACACAATTTCCAACCATCATACTATCCTTGTCTAAAAGATGTTAATTTCTCTTGTAGTTTCTTCTTACTTGCAACAGAATCTTATAACCTAAAGAATAACTTAAATGATAAAGTTAACCACAAAATTACAAACATATAAGTAACTAGTGGCGGTAAAGAAGAAATGAAATATTAGTTACCATATACATACCTATATTTACACTGTATTCATATAACTGATAAGTTTATATTTGTTTATAACATCTCTTTTCTACAGTTCCTCTTCTATTACCTTTTCCTTCAGCCATAATCTGTTTGGAGGTTGCCTTTTTTTCCCATTGTATAATGTGACCCAAATCTTCATTCCTGAAAGCTCTAAATACCCAACAGTTTAATCTTTATTGGTTGCCATAGTTTTCATTAACTTGTACTTTTGGACATGGAAATACCATGAGCTGCCACAGGAATTCCCCTGTAAATGAGATCCATTTCTCTCCCTCACTACTGTGTAGTAGCAATTCAGTTTTTCCCTAGAAATTGTGACCAGCATCCCAGGCAACATAGTATCCCCCGTTTTTTCTTGTTACTTCAGTGTTTAAGGAACTCAAAATGGGCAAGTACCAGTCTCAACTTTTTTTTTTTTTTTTAACTATTTTTGTTTCTCCTGGTGGAAACCTTGCCCTCTTGGGTACGAAGACATTTAAACCAGCAGAGCCCAGAGCTGAGAAGACACGAATGAAACATTCTGTGAATGGGTTATTAGATATAGTAGTGAAAGCAGCCACTCCCACATCATCCAGTTGATTCTGCAGGTGTGTTTTCTGGCAGTGAGAGAAGCAGCACCATATATTGGTTGCTGGGTCAGCGCATATATAAGAATTCAAATATATATCAGAGATAGATAGATAGATAGATAGATAGATAGATAGATAGATAGAACAGATTGAGCCCCAGGCTATCCAAATGTTGTCACCTACTGACACCACCACTAAGGCTTTTCTAGGTCAGTCAGCAGTCCATCAGCCCAGCTGCTTCTGGGAGACTTGATAATATGAGAAAAATCAACAGACATGATCCCATTGCCATACTTCCTTTGCAGCAAAATGAGTTCATTGTTCTGAAGCATGTGTGTGAGTGCCATATCGTGACTAGGATATTCTATAAACCTGTGGACAATGATTTTTCTAGAAACAAGGCAGACAGGAATGATGAATCCATACCCAAAATAAATGCCTTTTCCAGCGAGGACCGTTTGCTGCCTCCTGCATAATGTAAGGGTCCAAAGTAATCAACCCACTCCTAAGAGGCCCCTTCTGGGAGAACTGTGCCCTGTTCCATGCTGAGCACTCACTGCTGCAGGAGATGAGCACACAGGAGTGTTGGTAGCAGATCAGCCTTGGCGAGAGGAGGTTGTATGCTGCCCAAGCATAGCTCTGTCTTTGCCACAGGATTCATCTGGTAAATAGGAGAGGCTGAGGAAAGAGGCTCCATGACATTCACAGGGCATGTCGTCTTGTTGGCCCGATTACTGACAGCCTCCTCTGCAGTGAACCCCCTTGAGAGAGCATTTCTATGGAGTGCAGATATCTTCACACTGGAGACTCAGTTTTGAGGATTCAGTAAGAACAATTTGTTTTCAGCCTTCTAATCCCATTCTTTCCAAGCCCCTTACCTTCCAACCAGACCCCTAATGATCACCAAATAATCACTGTTTCCTATACTTCTGTCTCAATCTTGACCAAGTAAATAACCACATGCTGCATCAACCAGTGTTTTAGTGACAGTATATTGTACTGCTCATCTGTAAATAAGGCCTGAGGTTTTTCATTCCTATGTGATTTGGTCAAAATTCTCTCTCCTAGGAGTCCACAGGTATGAGCTGAGCCAGCAGAGATGCAGCAGGCCAGCTCTCATCCCCTTCATCATGGCCACCCCACATGGTTTCTTTATGTTCATAGAATGAGGTGTTTAGTCTGTATCAGGACCCAGCAGCTAACCACAACAGAACCTCTGTTTGTCATAGACATTGACATATAATTGTATCTGTTGGATCATAAGGCCCTTGTCATAAGGCAAAGCAGCTTGCACTGCCATCTGAATCTGCAGCAGTCCTCTCTTGCCCAAGACTCCAATCAAAACTGGTAGCCTTACACATTTCTTGATAAATGGGTGAAAGCAGTACAAGTGACATATAAGCCCAAGGAGGCCCATCAAGTACTGTCCTTCTTTTTTAGTGGTAAGCACATTGCAATTTCCAGAAACTCACCTTTTAACTTGGAGGGTATATCCTCACATGCTCGGAAGCATTCAACCCCCAAGAACTTCACTAAAATGATGGTGCCTACATTTTCATGGGCTTTATTTTCCACGGGTTGGCATACATCTTATTCAGACATTTAAGGTATTTGCTATTTTCTGTTCATCTGGTCTGTGTGGTACATGTTGTCAGTATAGTTAGTTTGAGGTAAGCATGATCAACATTTCTGCAAATGTAGTCAGGACAAAGAGCAGGAGAGTTGACATCACCCAGAGAAAAGTGCAGGTGCTATGTGGACCCGACCAAGCAAAAGCAAATGGCTTTTGGTGATCCTTGAAAGTTGCTATGAATTAATTTGCCTGATCAAAAGGTGTAAACTGCCAGATGCCAGGAGCTGTGTTTATTTGTTCCAGTGAAAATATCATATCTGGAAGAGCAGCTGCAATTGCAATCACAAGCTAAGTAAATTTATGGTAATTCACAATTATTCTCTAAGTCCAACTGCTTTGTGCATGGGCCAAACAGGTGAGTTAAATGAGTATGGAGTAAGTAGATGAGACTTGCCTTTTTCAAATCTTTGACAGAGATATTAATCGTTGCCCTTCCCCCAGCAATATTAACATCCTCTGGTAGGAAGGTCATATTTTAGAAGCCTCCTGGCTCTGGTTTAATATCGCTCACACCAGGGGGCAGAGAGACATGCAGGAATTCTGCCAGTTGCTGCAAATGTCTGTTCTAATTACATATTCAGGAACTAGAAAAATAACCAAGTGATGCATTTCTGAACCTTCTGCAATCTCCGTAAAATAGACGTGGGCCTCATCCATTTATCACCTTACCACCAAAAGCCTCCACTTTGGTGACCAACATGGAGTTTTAGTTACCATGAATTGGTTGCAGTTCAGAGCTGATAATCCTGAGCAGAAATGTATGTTTCCCTTACTCCAGCTCATGGTTGTCCTATTAGGTGAAAGTCCTTGCAATACCTACCTGTGATGATAGAAATGATGATGACAAGGACTATGGGGTTAAATGGCTAGAAGTCTAGTGATAGGAAATCATAAACTCGGGATACTTTTTATAAAAAATAAATGGGCCAAGCACAGTGGCTCACGCCTATAATCCCAATGCTTTGGGAGGATGAAGCAGGAGAATTGCTTGAGCCCAGGAGTTCCATACCAGCCTTAGCAACAGGGTGAAACCTTGTCTCTGCAAAAAAATATAAAAATTAGCTGGGTGTGCTTGTGGTCCCAGTTACTCGTCGATGTGGGAGGATCACTGGAGCCTGAGAAGTTGAGGCTGCAGTGAGCCACAGTCTCGCCACTGAGCTCCAGTCTGGATGACAGAGCAAGACCCTACCTGAAATAACAACAAGAACAACAACAACAAAACAGAGAACTTCTATTTTGGCCTGAAGAACTAAAAAGATAATGATAACTTTCTCCCCTCTTAGTCATAGGGCTGAGTTGCAGAAAATAACATCCAAAATGTTACAGAATTACAATTAAGTTCAAGAACCTTCAAACAGCCTTGTGTGTGAAAGTCAGAGTGATTGGCAAGATATTGGACCCTGAGACTGGAGTCATCTAAATAGATTCAGACAAAGCTGATTTTGAATTTCCAAATCTCTCTGATTCTCCCCTCCCAGAGAAAGCAGCCCTTCTCCCTTCCTTCAAGGCTTCTTACCTAAAGACCCGCTTGCCACTGGCTCCTTAGAGGGGCAAGATAAACTGTTCTTGGAAGTGGCAAAAGAAGCCAGAGGAGGGGAAAAAACAGCTGCTTCTGGGACAGCGCGCCACTGCTGGGGAACTTGAGCTCATGTGATTTTGCTGACACAAACCGCAAGCAGACAGGAATAAGGAAGTTCCCTTGCCTCTTCTCCTGCATTGTGAATTCCTGCCTCCTGTTGACAGCTCACCAAATCCAGCTGGCAAAACATTTTGGGAAAAGTAGTTGGCACAGTTGTGTCTATAGCATCCAGAGCAGAGTGTGGAAGAGTTTGGAGGTGAGAGAAAATGTCTGAGTACCTGACAGCCCTGCCCAGCCTTCAAGGCAAAACACAGGTTGGCAGCTTATTCACAGTCCTTTCCCTGATCATCCCGAGGCCCCTTGATTTAAAGCCCTGTAGACTTTGTGCCAATTGCAGGATTACCGAGCACTTCCTGCAGTGCTTTGGAACAAAGTCTGTCATATTTTCTCATAACTAATAAGGTATCTTCACTTCCTTTCTAAGAAGAAAAAGTGTGCTTTTTCTTTGGGTCTACCAGGATCCACAAGAACTTGTTAAAGGAAATCTTTGAAGGTATCTATTCTGAAGTAGAAATTCACCCTCACTTACTACTATAATATCTATCTGATTAGTTCACTTCCCTGTGCTTATTCCATAACCAATAGGCATACCTCATTTCAACCAGCTATTTTGAACGTGTGTGCTGTTGGTCACAAATGCAATGGGATGATCTGTGGATGTGGCCAGATGAGTTATTATCATAATTAGAAACGCAAGTCTATGTGTGCTCTAGACTGGCAGCATGACAAGGAAGACATCATCATCTTCGTGTTCAAAGGCCAGGACACCTCCACGCCCATGTTGCTAATTTGTCAAGTGTTGCTTATAGGAGTTCCAAGTTATTCAGAGAATCGTAGGCTTTTTAACTTTTTTGTAATGCACTGGTTACCTTATAAATGAAAGCAAATATTAAATACTCTTTTGGTTGTGGTTGGTTATTTGGCTGTAAAAGAGCACATGTTAATGTTGCTGACTTTATTAACTCATCATTGGGCATTTCAAGGTTAGGACTTCAGGCCTTTTGCTTGGCATTGACTGAGCAGCCACAGCTTCATGTATACCTGCCATGTGTTTGTAAAAATGAAGCAAATACATTCATGTATAATATTGAAAACTAGGGGAAGCATTTAATTTTAAAAATGTAGTATGCTCTAAGCTGAAATGTTTACTTCTTTTTAATGTGATCATACTCTTTTTTTTTTTGAGATGGAGTCTCGCTCTGTAGCCCAGGCTGGAGTGCAGTGGCGCGTTCTCGGCTCACTGCAAGCTCCACCTCCCGGCTTCACAACCATTCTCCTGTCTCAGCCTCCCAAGTAGCTGGGACAACTGGCGCTGGCCACCACGCCTGGCTAATTTTTTTTAGTGGAGACAGGGTTTCACCATGTTAGCCAGGATGGTCTTGATCTCCTGACCTCATGATCCACCCGCCTCGGCCTCCCAAAGTGCTGGCATTACAGGCGTGAGCCACTGCGCCCGGCCCAATCATACTCATTTTTAAAATTTGAAATGTTAATGAAAATGTTTCACTCTTGTCGCCCAGACTGGAGTGCAACAGCGTGATCTTGGCTCACTGCAAGCTCTGTCTCCCAGGTTCAAGCAATTCTCCTGCCTCAGCCTCCCAATTAGCTGGGATTACAGGTGTGTGCCATCATGCCTGGCTAATTTTGTATTTTTAGTAGAGACAAGGTTTCCCCACGTTGGCCAGGCTGGTCCTGAACTCCTGACCTCAGGCAATCCACCCATCTCAGCCTCCCAAAGTGCTGGGATTATAGGCATGAGCCACCACATCGGCCCAAAAATGTTTACTTTTAAATATTTGATTTCCATCAGTTGCATTCACTCAGATGTTTCTCTCTGTGCATAGAGGTAAAAGGCTTGTCCTCAAACCTGACTCCAGAAAGGATGGAGCCTGGAACCTGTGTTGGGATTCCATCTTGAGGCTGTTGTTCGTGCAGAACTGCATTAGTGTGGATGAATCAAGCTGCAGTGGAGAAGGAAATCAACAGGTTCTGACACCATCTCAAGAGCTGGTCAGAGCATAGGAGTTACTGAGCAGCCTTTACAGGGACATGGTCTGTACCTTCCCCCCAATTTTCCCCACCTGCTGAGGGAGACTTGGCTTGGAAATGCATAGGTCTTTCTCGCAGTCTCATACAATTTCACTTTTACTATAGTTCACATGGCCAGGATGCAGGGAAAGGGCCACAGCGTGGGATCTGTGATTAAGCCTCCCCTAGGCTTAGGCCCTTCGGCGAAAGCCTACGCCTAGTAGACTGCAAGCATATGTCAGACTGCTTGGGTATCTCATCCTGAACATGACTCCCACTTGGAATCACATACCTTTCTCTAGAATTGTCTGATGCAAAACCATTTACGTGCCAGCATAACAAGATTTAAAATCATTCTTCATTATCTATTTTAAGCCCCACTTTCTCTCCCTTCCCACTTTAAGAAGCTTTTTCTTTCCCTGCTTTGTGTTTATGATTTAAAGTGGTTTTTATGTCATCGTGAATTACAGCTGCTTTCCCACAGTGATTTACATTTTTATGTGTTACTCAGAAACCATCCTGGACAGTTTGATAAAACATACTTCACTGAGCTGAAACTCTGCCTTCTATCCTGTTGTCTGATGAAGTTTGGAATGGATGCTGTCATTCAGTTAAAAATCCTTCAGTCCCTCTGCAATATAAGCAGACTAAAACACACATCCCTGAATTTGTTATTATTTGATCTTTGCAGTCTGGTGCAAAGTATTCCTTTCCAACATTTGCCCATATTTCAGCTCCATCAGTCAACTCAAAACTCCCCTATGTTCTCCACCCTCTAAATGACTTTCACGCCTGTGCATATCTCTGCAATTTCACTTATTTCAGTGTATTGCTGTTCTATATTTCCTATTCTCTGCCTGTCTAGACTGTGAGCACCTTACATAGAGCTATTTGTTTTATCTCTGAACCCATAGTGACTTATGGTAGTGACAGGCACACAGTACACACTCAATCTAAATGTGCAGCGTAAACGTATACAGGATCTAATGTACACACGTGCTCTCGTCCCTTAAGACACAGTAAATGATTATCAGATTGGATTCTAGCTGATTGAAAAGGGCGTGACAAAAAGTCCGTGAGGCCAGGGCTCAGCCATCTTCTTTCTCTTATACACATCTTTATGATGTCGTCCCTTTCCTAGAGAGCTGTTTCATGCCAGAATCATAATGCAGAAATTGATCAGCAATTGAGACCCAAATCTGCCGCTAAGCCAGTGGGACACTCAAGTAGGAATTGTTTGCATGTTGTGATCAATGGATTGCTTGTTGACTTTTCTGTGGAGTCAGTTAAATAAGTCACCTTGTACAAGATCCTTATGTGGCCTGCAGTTTATTAATCAAATTTTACCCCCTTGCAATGGATTTTAAAAGCTTGTTAAATCAAGTAAATTGAAATATTTGGTGATTATTCTTAATGATTGTATATCTATACCCCCTGCTCAAGGGTAATGTGTCAGCCCATGAAGTTTGCTGAAGGGTAAATTTGATCTGCAAATAAGGAGGGATTCTTATTCTTCTGAATTCCTATCTATATCTTTTAAAGTATGAAGAGTGGGCAGTGGCCCTGTAAATTGTGAGGCGGCTTTTTATAGAGACGGGAAGTAAAACATCTCTGGATTCCCAGTGGAAAAAAGATGCTGTGGAGAGTGTATTTTAAACTCTAAAATAAATGGATAACTCAGATCAATCTTTTTAGCTAGTGCTATTGATGTATGCAGTACCAAAGGATATTTGGTCCTAGCAAGATTACTCTACTGCCAGTTACAGCTGGGAAGTAGGGAGTCTACTTCAGACATCCGCTTTTATCTATCTCCAGAAGCCATCTTGACCCATATGGGCTCCTGCCAGCTGATTTTTTTCATGGGTTTAGATGATCCTCCGAACACTCAAGGCCTCTGATTTGGACGAAGCTCATGACAAACACCGCTTGCTTTCCTTCTCTCAAAGTGATCTCTCAGATAACACTTGGGAAATATTTTAAAATCTCATTTGACTTTTTTTTTTTTTCTTTGGAAACATGTCAAATTTTTATTTATTTATTTATTTTAATGTATTTATTTATTATTATTATACTTTAAGTTTTAGGGTACATGTGCACAATGTGCAGGTTAGTTACATATGTATACATGTGCCTTGCTGGTGCGCTGCACCCACTAACTCGTCATCTAGCATTAGGTATATTTCCCAGTGCTATCCCTCCCGCCTCCCCCCACCCCACAACAGTCCCCAGAGTGTGATGTTCCCCTTCCTGTGTCCATGTGTTCTCATTATTCAATTCCCACCTATGAGTAAGAATATGCGGTGTTTGGTTTTTTGTTCTTGCGATAGTTTACTGAGAATGATGATTTCCAGTTTCATCCATGTCCCTACAAAGGACATGAACTCATCATTTTTTATGGCTGCATAGTATTCCATGGTGTATATGTGCCACATTTCCTTAATCCAGTCTATCATTGTTGGACATTTGGGTTGGTTCCAAGTTTTTGCTATTGTGAATAATGCCGCAATAAACATACGTGTGCATGTGTCTTTATAGCAGCATGATTTATAGTCCTTTGGGTATATACCCAGTAATGGGATGCCTGGGTCAAATGGTATTTCTAGTTCTAGATCCCTGAGGAATCGCCACACTGACTTCCACAATGGTTGAACTAGTTTACAATCCCACCAACAGTGTAAAAGTGTTCCTATTTCTCCACATCCTCTCCAGCACCTGTTGTTTCTTGACTTTTTAATGATTGCCGTTCTAACTGGTGTGAGATGGTATCTCATTGTGGTTTTGATTTGCATTTCTCTGATGGCCAGTGATGGTGAGCATTTTTTCATGTGTTTTTTGGCTGCATAAATGTCTTCTTTTGAGAAGTGTCTGTTCATGTCCTTCGCCCACTTTTTGATAGGGTTGTTTGTTTTTTTCTTGTAAATTTGTTTGAGTTCATTGTAGATTCTGGATATTAGCCCTTTTTCAGACGAGTAGGTTGTGAAAATATTCAGGATACAAAATCAATGTACAAAAATCACAAGCATTCTTATACACCAACAACAGACAAACAGAGAGCCAAATCATGAGTGAACTCCCATTCACAATTGCTTCAAAGAGAATAAAATACCTAGGAATCCAACTTACAAGGGATGTGAAGGACCTCTTCGAGGAGAACTACAAACCACTGCTCAAGGAAATAAAAGAGGATACAAACAAATGGAAGAACATTCCATGCTCATGGGTAGGAAGAATCAATATCGTGAAAATGGCCATACTGCCCAAGGTAATTTACAGATTCAATGCCATCCCCATCAAGCTACCAATGACTTTCTTCACAGAATTGGAAAACAATACTTTAAAGTTCATATGGAACCAAAAAAGAGCCCGCATCGCCAAGTCAATCCTGAGCCAAAAGAACAAAGCTGGAGGCATCACGCTACCTGACTTCAAACTATACTACAAGGCTACAGTAACCAAAACAGCATGGTACTGGTACCAAAACAGAGATATAGATCAATGGAACAGAACAGAGCCCTCAGAAATAATGCCACATATCTACAACTATCTGATCTTTGACAAACCTGAGAAAAACAAGCAATGGGGAAAGGATTCCCTATTTAATAAATGGTGCTGGGAAAACTGGTTAGCCATATGTAGAAAGCTGAAACTGGATCCCTTCCTTACACCTTATACAAAAATCAATTCAAGATGGATTAAAGACTTAAACGTTAGACCTAAAACCATAAAAACCCTAGAAGAAAACCTAGGCATTACTATTCAGGACATAGGCAGGGCAAGGACTTCATGTCTAAAACACCAAAAACAATGGCAACAAAAGCCAAAATTGACAAATGGGATCTAATTGACTTTTTAATAACTACTACGCTGTCCTGGGGTAACTACCGATCCTGGGATAATTTAGAGTCCAAAATTTTAAGCAAAAGGAGTAAGTATTTGACTTTCAGACATAAGTGAAAGATCAGTAATGAAAATTGTGTACATGTATACATATACATAAGCATAACTCTTGCAAATCCTGTAACACATGTACTACATATCCCTCTCCCTTCATTGACCACAGTGCTTATTTCCAACAGGTGGAGGGTAATTTAACTGATGTGAGACACTTAAGAAGATTCTCTTTTCATATCTTGTTTAATAGCATAAGTTCTAATAAATGGCATCCTGGATCATAATGTTGACTTTATGGGAAAGGAGACATTACCTTCTAATGAAAAATCTGCCATGAATGAATCATTCATAATTTGTTGAATAATCCTTTACACTTGGATGCATTTTACAGTGTGCAGCAGAATGTAATCATGCTTGATGACCTTTGAGCATTCTTTTAGATCGGGTCTTTTCTAATTGTAGCCTCTGCTCAGCAAAGACATGATATTTCATATGGCTTAATACATAGAAATGATCAGTTACATGAGGCACAGCTTCTTCTCATCCTTTTATAGGAGGATGTCAGATCATTTGTCCACAATTTCTGTAGGATTTGTGTAACATGAACTTGAAGACTGTTTTCATGAAAGCCTGCTTCCATTTTCATGAAAATGAAAGTATTGCATTGGTTTTAAACGATGAAATCGGTGAATCAGTTCTCTGAGAGGCAGATATATGCAGGACGTCATGGTGTGTTTTCTTTTCTTTGAGACAGGCTCTTGCTCTGTTGTGCAGGGTGGAGTGCAGTGGCGCGACCATGGCTCACTGCCGCCTTGACCTCCCTACCTCAGCCTCCCGAGTAGCTGGCACCACAGGTGTAAACCACGATACTCAGCTTTTTTTTTTTTAATTTTGTAAAGATGGGGGTCTCACTATGTTTCTGAAGCTGATCTTGAACTCCGGGGCTCAAGTGATCCTCCTGTCTTAGCTCAAGTGATCCTCCTGTCTTAGACTCCCAAAGTGCTGGGATTATACACATGAGCCACTGCGCCCGGCCTAGGACATTATCTAAAGTGTGATGGAAGACCTAATTACTGTCTTCAAAGTGCTTACAATTCAGGTTGGGGAGTGCATATCCAAAGGAAGCTTTATATTTTTGTGATGACAAGGACTTCTAGAAGACACTGTGTTGGGCCAAATAAAGCAAAAAAGTAAACTTCAATTCTTTTGTGACTTTTTGTGTTACTTTATCTTTTTTAATATGTGGTATTTTAATAAGAATCTTCAATAAGGTAGGAGAAACTTAGGTATTCTGTGTAAAAAAAGTCCTAGTAATTGTATAGACATGAATACCTATAAAATTATTATCAGTTTCATAGCAAATCCTTTCAAAAAACTTTAGACTGGGACATCATTTTCCACATGAAGAGGTCTGGTCTTTAAGAATGTTACCACAATATTTAGCATAAAGCTGGATTTGTAAATGGATTTTTAATGTCAAGTGTTGTTTGAAGGTTGCAAAGATATTCGAGTTTTCACATCCCTATTCAACTGTTCCAGTGTGGAAATGTGCTCTCTGCATTAGTCCAATATGTTTGTAGATACAAGTATTGAGAGTGTTGAATGGAGATAAACAATTTGGCTTAAAAATCAGAAAACTGGCTTAGATTCATAGGTCTCTCTGATCATGTCTTGGCTACTGATATTCTGGATGACTTCAGTAGCGCATTTTGATTCTCTGTATCTGGAACACAGTTTCTGCTTTCAGAGACTTTGGAACGAAACTTTGGATTCAACAATTGGTGGTAGAATTCTGTTGAGTTATGGAAGCAAGACTGGGAGGCCCCAGGGCAACAAACTAAAGTGTGGAAAATCCAGCTGCTCAGAGGCTTGGCATACTGAAAAACGATTTAATTCAATCATCAGAAACTTCTGGTTGTTTAGTTTCTCTCTCCAGGAAAATTTTTCTCCACCTTTTTTTTTTTAATTGTGAGACTGTAGAAAACTTGAAAGACTAGTACAGTACCGCAGTGATTTACTCTATGCACCATTTCTTTATCTTTTGACCCACTTGCCTTCCTTCTCACACACAAATACCCATGCTACACACACCCCGCACTCACACAAAACATGATACATGTGTGTATGTATGTGAGTGTGCACGTCCGTGTGTGCGTGTGTGTTGGTGGATTTGTTTGAAAGTTGTAGTGTGCATCTCTTTTTTTTTAGACAGAGTCTCACTCTGTTGCCCAGGCTGGAGCACAGTGGTGCAGTCTCGGCTCACTGCAAGCTCTGCCTCCCAGGTTCACACCATTCTCCTGCCTCAGCCTCCCGAGTAGCTGGGACTACAGATGCATGCCACAACACTCGGGTAATTTTTTGTATTTTTAGTAGAGACGGGGTTTCACTGTGTTAGCCGGGATGGTCTCGATCTCCTGACCTCGTGATCTGCCCACCTTGGCCTCCCAAAGTGCTGGGATTAAAGGCGTGATCTACTGTGTCCAGCCAGCGTGCATCTCTTAAATGCAAAGTCATCCTGTTCCATCACCATGCCTGTACGTTGACTCAGTGATATTATTTCATGGGCAGCCCTTGTGCACATCTTCCCATCCATCTCCGAACGTCTTCTGTGGACATCTGTTTTTCTTCTCCCGGTTGAGGTGAAGCCCACACGTTGCATTTGGCGGTCTGGTCATGTCAGCCACAACTTCCTGCCACTTTTTGTCTGTCTCAACTCTGACATACTTAAAGACGTCAGGCCAGTCCTTTTTTGGGATGTCTCAGAATCTGGATTTGTCCTGCCGTTTTCCTCATGGTATGTTCAGGTGAAGCATGTGTGGCAAGACCGTTTCCTAGAGGGTGTGTACTTTACATTACATCCCATCAGCAACACAGAACGCCAGCTCATCTGGTGGCGTTTGTGATCCCCACTAGCATCTGATCTGATAAAGTCTCTCCCTTGTGAGTTTCATACTCAAAAGGACATCGCCCCTGTTTCAAGGTTGCCTTTTTCTTATGCAATTAGTAGACAAGATGTGGGATACTGCTTTCAGACCATGTCAAGATGCTATTCTTCAACGGTCTTTTTAAGGATTCATTTCTATTTCTGCCCAAATAAATAATTGCATTTGTGGTTTCCAAAAAACCAGAAAGATTTATAATTATATTGTTTGTTTACATTTGCCATTTAGCATTCTTCTTTAAAGAACAGTTTGAGAAAAATGAACCCCTTTAAATCAGCTCCTACATAGTTTTGATATGTCCACATTGGTCTTTGAGTCCTTGCTTTTTGGCACAGAAGTTCCAGGTTCATCTTCTATTTACCAAACCCTAGGATCTGGCTGTTACATTTAGACATAAACGTTGCTACCAATGTTTTTGCTTCTAGACCATTTTACTATATGGTAGAATATGTGTATGTGTGTCTGTGTGCATTAATGAGTTCATTCATATAACTTCAGGAATACCATAGAATTATCTATTGCCTTTCCCCTTTCAGTATTCATATCTACCTTTTCCCATAGTGAGAACCCACATTACCGTAAACATCAATATATTAATTTATTTCTTTTATCCCATAGTACACACACATAGTACATTCAAAAGAATTTTGAAATTGACTAAAACTTAAACTGTTGCAAACAACAAACTTATGAACAGAATTCAACATAGTGTTAAGTAAAACACAGGATTTATGTTAATATTTCTAGACAGTGTTTACTAAATGATTCATGGTATGCAATTGGCATATGATGTTAATTGAATTTGACAAGTGAAACAATGACTAATTTAAGCTTGGGGATATTGTATATGCTTCAGATCCTGAGTAATGTCCAATATACACCTACAGCAACAGTACCAGGAAACAGTTTGACTCATAAACAGCTGAGAAGGCGGTAAATGAAATAAAAAGCAATCTTTGTATAAGTGCTCATTGGATGTTGGAAAGTGTTTAAGGGACAGCATCTGTAGAGAGGAAGAGCTTGGCCAAGACAGCTCCTGTATTAATATATCAGACTATAAATAGCAGAGGAGTGCACACTGTAACTCCTAACTTCTCACTAAGAACTGGTGAAAACTGCAAACACATAAACAAACACCCTATTTCTGCTGAGCTCATGGAGTCAACTCTGTTTACTCATCTGTAGCTTTCCTTCCTTGGTCAGGGTCCGAAGAGCCATAGCTGGTCCCTGTATCATCTCTGCCCCTCATCGTCCTGGCCAGGGCTGCCTTGCGTCCTCACTCATTATTACTTGTATAAAGTCCTGAATTTCTGCACATGCAGTGTTTTGTCATTGGCTATTACTAAGTCAGTTGTATTTTCTAGTGGATTTTATAAAGGATCTACTTCCTGAATACAGCTTTTATCTCTCTCTGTATATTCTTCCAACTTTGCGACTTTCTTTGTCTTACTGATGTAGAAGGTGGAAGTCAACTCTGGAGGTGGGGCTCAGGCACTGGACCAAATTGAGGACTAGCTAAAATAGGGCTGGGCTGGAAGCAGCTTTCCATATGACACACCCACCAGGGTGCTGTGTCAGTTTCCCATTGCCATGGCAACACTTGGGAGTTACTGCCCCTTTTCACGACAACAACTTGGTGACCCTTTTCTAGAAATTTCTTCATAATCCACCCCATGAAATTAAAAGTGGGTATAAATATGGATGCAATGCTGCCTCTGAGCTGCTGCCCTGGCACACTGCCTACGGGGCAGCGCTGCTGCTGCTGTACACCGCCACTTCAGTAAACATTGCTTTTTAACACCACTGACTTACCCCTCAGTTCCTTCCTGGGCAAAGTCAAGAACCCTCCTCAGCTAAGCCCCAGTTGTGGGTCTCACCTGTCCTGTGTCACTGCTACTATAATTAGTGAGTTTGTTCCTGTGATGGTGATTAAATCTATCTAGTCCTACTCAGCACCATCCTATGAAGACTGACTTCTCAACGGTGAATGCAGGAAAATCCTCATCCTTCACAAACAGGTCCTCCGTTCACCGTTCTTTGTCACTGCACTCAGCATCTTTACTGGCTGCTAGGCCTATGTTTAACTAACCCTGTCACACCAACAATTTAATGACCTTTTTAATATTACATATATGGTAGTTAGAGAACTTTAGAATTCAGTCTAATTATCTATTTGAAATACTCTGCGATTTGAGTTCCTGCTATGTTTCAGCTTTTGTTGTTGTTTTCATGGTGGTTGGTAGGAAACACTGACATTTCGTAAAATGTGCGATTTGCTAAGGAAAGGGTTTCTGAAAATTAGTTCAGATGAAATATGCATAATTATAGTAAATACACACATGATCTAGATGTAATATTTAGTGAAGTGCGCTGATTCCTAGTGCATTTAGTGAGGCTGGGTCACAGAAAGAAGCAGTCCTCCCATGGGGAAGCTCCCAGAGGAATGGATTCAAAGGGCTGTAAAGGGCTGTGTCTTCTGGAACAAAGGCTTGTCTTTCTCTTTTGGCTTGGCATTGGCATGTGGAACCATTTGCATAGATTCCCACCACTAAGCATAATGGCAAATCTTTCCCTGTGAAGCAGGAGTGTGGGACGTTTGAAAACCAGGTACATGTTTGGAGCAAACTGAACGTAGGTGTTCCCAAGCAAAGGCATTTGACATATCCTTTCTTGAATGAACAGATAAAAATGCATCCATATGTAATAAGTAATATATTAAAGAAGTGCATAGTGTATATTAAATAGACATAATATGTATTTCCTTCCTTCTTCCTTCATTCCTTCCTCCTTTCTTTTGCAAATAAATTTTGGGCTTGGAACTTAGATTCTATGGGGTTTTCATTTAGAGAAAAAGTCAAAGACTGGTGTTTTTTGACAAACTTGGGAGTAAGAAATAGGAAAAGTTTATGGAAAAGCTGGACAGAAACCTTAGGATCTGGGGTTTGCCTGCCCTGGTAGACACATCTTTGTGATTTTCCTGATAACTTCATACACAACTATGCCTGATGCCTAGTTCACAGCAACAGGAAAAGAGAAAAAGGAACAGTGTTGTTGAGGAGACACCCTAGTGATATAACAGTAACAACAGCCAGGGTTAACAAAGGCATGTACCTCTCCTGGTCAGTGTTATAAAGTTGCTGACTGGGCCATGCTTTAATCTCCAAAATGAGAAACTCTTCTGTTCTCTCTCATTTAAAAGATTAGTTATTTGCTTTATAAATTAGCCACTACTTGGTACAACTTTTTATTCATTTATTTATTTTGAGACAGAGTCTCGCTCTGTCGCCCAGGCTGGAGTACAGAGGTGCGATCTCGGCTCACTGCAACCTCCACCTCCTGCGTTCATGCGATACTCCTGCCTCAGCCTCCTGAGTAGCTGGGATTACAGGCGCCTGCCGCCATGCCCGGCTAATTTTTGTATTTTTAGTAGAGACAGGGTTTCGCCATGTTGGCCAGGCTGGTCTCGAACTCCTGACCTCAAGTGATGCGCCCCCTTTGGCCTCCCAAAGTGCTGGGATTATAGGCCTGAACCATTGAGCCCGGCCTTCAACCTTTTATTTTTAAGCAAGGAATCTTGGTACTCACTCAAGAGTTGTACCTGATGGGGGTTGTGAGAAACTGTTTAAATGATAACTGTTCCCATTTTTTTCTTCTAACCCTACGCTCACCTCTGAGTGAGACTCTTGGAGCATGGGGAATACGGATAGGTTGAGTGACACCGAGCTCCTCATGTGTATTGAAAGAGCAAATGCACAGGTAACCTGAAGCTTTTGAACTGAGAAATTTTCCTACCATAAGAATTCTGGAAAGTGAACAGTGAGGGCTGGGCAGCAAGACTAAGCCCCTCACATTGCCTTTTTGCCCTTCTGGGCTAGTCAGTCAAGACTGGAGTGCATACAACATCGTGACACTTGTGTCCTGAGTAACACAGGAAATGACTCTAGTTCAGTCCCCAGGACAAGGTCAGACATATGCCAGGGGAAGGTATTGGTTAGAGGCATGGAGCTCTATTTCGAATGTGAATGGTTTTCCTTTCCGTGAACTTGTTAAAGTTGTTCTGTGCTGCCACAGTATTGCCTTGTGCAAATCTTCTGATTTGTGCAAAGTCCCAGAAGAAATGACGATAGAATGCTGCTCTCCTCCTAAGTAAAATGAAGAAGTATCTAAGAGAAACAGATGATTCAAAATGCTTTTAAAAATAGATATTAATGAAGTTGAAATGTTTAGGTTATTTCAACTGCTTGGTTGTATTACCATTTAAAATATCTTTAATTATGGATGTAATACATGCTTTCCTGCTTTCTTCATAAAATGAAAAAAAAAAAAAAGGAATTCACTCTCTCATGTCCTCAGTTCTGTTCCCCAGAGTTAGCCACTTGTACGTGTTTCTCCACTTAGTTCTTTTGGGGATTATCATCATCGCGGAGCTATTGATTTATCAACATTAAAATATGCACATTCACCCCCCACCTTGAAAACCTAATAATTTGGCATTCTTTGCCCCACATCTCTTCTCCCAGCCTGTTCCCATTGTTAATCTATCCATCCTCTTCCCGTACTTACGGGAGCTGTAATCATCAAGTGCATTGTTACTTTGAACGACATACTTTAACTCTGATGTATTCAACAAACTTTGATGGAACTTATCAACCAATCATTTTCTATCCACATTTTTCACCACTTTTTTGTCTCCTCCTAAATTCTGTCAGATGTAGTAATACAGTTACATTGACAAGGTTTATAAGATTGTATTATGTGGCCGGGCAAGTATGTATGACGATTGGATCCATGAGAAAGAAATGATATTTGAATGTTTCTCAGCCTGTACTAATCATTAATAATGTTCCAAACCTCAGAGTTTATAGGAGATATCAGTTACTAAAAATCTTATCATATTTTAGTTTGTTTCATATTTGGTTCAGATTTATGCCTTTCTTTTACTGCTCTATTGTTCTCAGAGAAATTGATTTTTATTTTTCTTATTGGTGGAAGAAACATATGCCTTTATGTTATAGTTAAGAATATCTGGGCCGGGTGCAGTGGCTCATGCCTGTAATCCCAGCACTTTGGGAGACCAAGGCAGGTGGATCACGTGAGGTCAGGAGTTTGAGACCCGCCTGGCCAAGGTGGTGAAACCCCATCTCTACTAAAAATACAAAAATTAGCCAGGTGGTGGCACACGCCTGTAGTCCCAGCTACTTCGGAGGCTGAGGCAGGAGAATTGCTCGAACCCAGGAAGTGGAGGTTGCAGTGAGCCGAAATCGCGCCATTGCACTCTAGGCTGGGTAATAAGAGTGAGACTCCATCTTTAAAAAATGAATATTTTATTTATATTTGTAGAATTTGTTGTCATATAATCTCCTTTCTCCTTGAAGGCATTATTTGTTAGTTCCATTCTTTATTTTGATGTGGTTTGGCTGTGTTTATAGCATTTCTCTCCCAATTTGAAGGCACTGCTCTTCTAAAACTTGGCACTACTATTGAGAAGGTGAATTCAATTCGGGCATTTGTTTCATATGTAGGTTTCAGGTGTTATATTTCTTGTAAAACCTCTCAGATTTTCTATCCCCGTTTAGAGCCATAAAATATGTCAAGGTGGGTTCTGTCTTCTTTTCGCTGCATACCCTTTGGGCTGTTTTACTCTAATGCGTGATGAGTGCTTCTCACTTCACTATGATTTTAAAAACCACAGATACGTAAGCTATGCCTCCATAGATTATGGCCAAACAATTGGTATTCTTTGATGCCACCCAAAATCAGAGCATGTAGCCAGCATGGAGAACTAGTCCTTTTATCCTTATTGCCCAGGAAAATATCCTTATTTTTAAAATTATATTCTCCCCTCTCTGATTTCTGCCATCTTCTTTAAGGATGCCTATTAGAATTATTTTACTTCTTAATTTTGCATTTACTTTAAAAATATCTCTTTCTTTGTATATTTTTGTCGTTTTCCTCCTACTCCTGAAACATTTCTTGACTTTATCTTTTTGATCCCCACCCCTAAAAGTGTGGAACGTGGACCAGCAACAATTGGTGTTACACGGTGGGCTTGTTGAGAAATGCTGAATCCCAGAGTCCACGCCTGGCCTGCTGATGCAGGCTGCATTTCATTCTTATTTATTTATTAATAACAAATCTCCTGGTAATCCACTTGCACGTCAGAGTCTGAGAAGCACCGGTTCTTTGATTTCTTCTTCTTTCATGTACCTTCCATTAAACAGTCCTATTAATATGATTAGTTGTTGTCTTTGTGCATCTTGGCATTTCTTTTTCATGTTATTTACTTACCTCCAAAATCAGATGATTCCTGCTTGTTTATTAATATGTGTGGCCAAACAATATGTTAATTAGTATTGGAAGGTTACATAGATTCCCTATTGCATTTTGGAGGCATATGCACACCAGAATCTTGTGCTGGAAATACACCAGTGGAATGTGTGTGTTCAGGCGTCAGGAGGCTTCCCTTGAGGAAGAACAGAGACTGTTCTCATGTTTTACCTGGATTAACTCATTCACCCCTTCCAACCAACCTTGAAGTAGGTGCTGCCATTAGCTCTTCATGGAGATGAGGAGTGCAGGGCACAAGACAAACAAACTGAGTCATGCAGTAAGTGGTAGAGCTGAGATTGAAACCCAGGCAGCCTGGCTTCCCAGACCATGATCTTAATGGCCGCACTGCAGAAGGCCTCTCCTTTGCTTTGAGCCCTTCATGGAGGGGCTTTGCTCTGTGGCCCTCACCTCCACAGCACAGGCTGCCATCCCCTGAGACTCCACTTGCCCTCTTGGCCCAGCTTAAATCGTATAAGGCCGACCCTCTCGGAGCATCTTATGCTCTTTCGAGAACAGTGCCCAGGATTTCACAGCTACATACAGGTGAGGAAGAGGAGGCAGCTGGCAGAGGCATTTTACTGAGCATCTCCTAAGGGACAGTGCTAAACACTGCCACTCTCATCTGCCGTCTGAGGCTAGGTCCCTTCATTGTGAATCCGGGCCTTTCTGGGCTCAGAAGGCCCACTGCCCTGGCGTTCCTCTGAGTGCTAGTTTCAATTTCTCATCTCTGGAGTTTGTTTTGTTTGCTGATATCATCCTCTATTTTTTTTTTTTCAGAAGTTAAAATGTAGCTAAGAGTTCTCCCAGAAATTTAAATATTTTTGCAATGTTTGATATATTGCCCTTATCAAGTTAGAGACTTCTGTTCCATTCCTGGTTTACTCTGTTGTTCTTTTCTGTTTGCTTTAATAGTAAAGTTATGGACTATTATTAAGTCATTGCGTCCGTATTATAAGAGATAATAAGTGCTTTACCTTTCAGTTTCTTCCTATTTTAAATTACATTGATGGGGATTTTTCAGATGATAAACCATCCTCACATTCTTGAGATAAATCTTGATGATGGGATATTATTTGGATTCTGTTTCATATGTATACTTACAAGTGAAATGGAATTTCATCCTCATTTTCTTTTATTGCTCCTGTTTTATTTAGAAATTAATTTAAACAAAACTGAACAGCTTTTTTTCTTTTTCTTTTTTTTAAACATGAAGGAATTGGAATGTTACTTGAGAGTTTAGTGGAACTCACTTATAAAACCCTCTGATCCTGTTTTTTTTAAAACCATTTTATTTTAGCTAATACACATTTTCATTCAAGTTATGTATTTCTTTTTTTCTTTTTTTTTTTTTTTTTGAGACAGAGTCTCGCTCTTTCGCCCAGGCTGGAGTGCAGTGGCGCGATCTCTGCTCACTGCAAGCTCTGCCTCCCGGGTTCACGCCATTCTCCTGCCTCAGCCTCCCAAGTAGCTGGGATTACAGGTGCCCGCCACCACGCCTGGCTAATTTTTTGTATTTTCAGTAGAGACGGGGTTTCACCGTGTTAGCCAGGATGGTCTCGATCTCCTGACCTCGTGATCCGCCTGCCTCGGCCTCCCAAAGTGCTGGGATTACAGGCGTGAGCCACCGCGCCCGGGCAAGTTATGTATTTCTGCCCTGTGTGTTCTTCATCAGCAGTGTGCCATGCCCTCTATTTCTTCTAGAAATTGGGCTTTGTAGTTTGGTGGACCCACAACCACTTTTCCAACTTTCATGCTTTAAGAAGGCATGGATCTTTTAGATAAAATACCTGCGTATGTTTTTCAAATATTTGTGCAAAAAATAGTGAAGGTCGTCTCCAGAATGCAGCATGAGCAGTCGAAGAAAATATTTATGTATCAGTTTCCCCGTTTTCATGAGCGCTTTACTTATCTTTTAAGATTAATAATGTAATTGTTTTTATACACCATGTCTAGATTAACCTAACTAGATAGAGGAAAGTATTGATGATTGCCATTAATTGTTATTGTTTTCCTATATGCAAATGTAGCCAGGACCAAAAGAGACATGGCACCTAAATGCAAGGCATAGTCTTAGCTGGTGCATAACTAATGCAGGAACAGAAAACCAGACACCGCACCTTCTCACTTATAAGTGGGAGCTGAACAGTGAGAACACAGGGACACAGGGAGGGGAACAACACACACTGGGGCCTACTGGGGGATGGGTGGGGGGACGGAGAGTATTGGGAATAATAACAAATGCAAGCTGGGTTTAATACCTAGGGGATGGGTTGATGGGGCAGCAAACCACCGTGGCACACGTTTACCTATGTAACAAACCTGCACGTCCTGTACATGGACCCTGGAACTTAAAATTAAAAAAGAGAAAATTAGAAAAATGAAAAACATGGTAAGAAAGAACATAATTGAGACAACTTACATCAGGCCTGTGGATTAAATGCTAATAGTGTATCAATGTGAGTTCCTGATTTTGGTGAATGGACCAATTGTGTAGAAGAATGTCTTGTTTTTAGGAAATACACAGTAAAGTTTTCAGGGATGATGGAGCATCATGGCAGCAACTTACTCCCAAAAGTAGTTATGTAAATAAAGCTGGAGGCATCACACTACCTGCCTTAAAATATATACCACATAGTTAGAGTATCTCTAGAGATATAGAGAGTTATAGTATCTCTAGATCTCAGATATAAATCCACACATATACAGTCAATTGGTTTTTTTTTTTAGAGACGGAGTCTCGCTCTGTTGCCTAGGCTGGAGTGCAGTGGCACGATCTCGGCTCACTGCAAGCTCCACCTCCCGGGTTTACGCCATTCTCCTGCCTCAGCCTCCCAAGTAGCTGGGACTGCAGGCGCCCGCCACCACGCCCGGCTAATTTTTGTATTTTTTTTTTAGTAGAGACAGGGTTTCTCCACGTTAGCCAGGATGGTCTCGATCTCCTGACCTCGTGTTCCGCCCGACTCGGCCTCCCAAAGTGCTGGGATTACAGGCGTGAGCCACCGCGCCTGGCCCAGTCAATTGGTTTTTGACAAAGACGCCAAGAATACATAACGGGGAAAGTACTGTCTCTTCCATAAGTGGTGTTGGAACAACTGGATATCCACAAGCAGAAGAAGGAAATGAGACCCTTATCTGACCTCATATACAAAAATCAACCCAAAGTGGATTAAAGCTGTAAATGTAAGAACTGAATCTGTAAAGCTCACAGAAGAAAACACAGAGGAAAAGCTGCGTGGTATTGATATGGCCAGTTATTTTTTGGATATGACTCCAAAAGCACAAGCAACAAAAGGGAAAATAGGTGGGAATGCATCAAACTAAAGAACTTCTGTATCAGCCACGCAACAATCAGCAGAGTGAAGAGACAACCTATGAAATGGCAGAAAATATTTGCCAACCATACATTTGATAAGAGGTTAATATTCAAAATAGATAAGGAACTCAAAAACTCAATAGTTAGAAAATAAGTAACCCAATTTAAAAATGGGGTAAAGAAACAGAATAAACTTTTCTCAAAAGAAGTCATACAAATGGCCAACAGGTATATGAAAAAATACTCCACATCATAAATTATCAGGGAAAAAATTATCATTAAAACCACAATGAGATATTACCTCATACCTGTTAGGATGGCTGTTATCAAAAAGACAAGAGATGGCCGGGCACGGTGGCTCATGCCTGTAATCCCAGCACTTTGGGAGGCTGAAGGGGACAGATCATCTGAGGTCAGGAGTTTGAGAGCAGCCTGGCCAAAATGGCAAAACCCTCTCTGTACTAAAAATACAAAAGTTATCTAGGTGTGGTGGTGGGTGCCTGTAATGCCAGCTACTCAGGAGGCTCAGGCAGGAGAATCGCTTGAACTCAGGAGGGAGAGGTTGCAGTGAGATGAGATTGCACTCCAGCCTGGGTGACAAAGCGACATCTATCTTAAAAAAAAAAAAAAGACAAGAAAGACAAGAGATAATAAGTGATAAGCGCTGGCAAGGACGTGGAGAAAAGGAAAGCCTTGTACACTGTTGGTGGGAATGTAAATTGGTACAGCCATTATGGAAAACAGCTCAAAAGTTAAAAATAGAACTGTCATATGACCCAGTGGTCTCACTTCTGGGTACGTATCCAAAGGAAACAAACCAGCATGTCAAGGGATGTCTGCACTCCCATGTCCTTTGCCGCACTATTCACAATAGCCCAGGTAGGGACCTACCTAAGTGTCCATTGACTGATGAATGAATAAAGAAAATGTGTTATATTTATAAACACAATAAGATACCATAGGACCTTTTAAAAGAACAATACCCTGTCATCTGTGACAACATGGATGAACCTGAAGGACATGATGTTACATAAAATGAGCCAGGCACAGAAAAACAAATATTGCACGGTTTCACGTATACGTGGAATCTAAAAACACTGAAATCTGAGAAGTAGAGGGTAAAATGCTGGTTGCCAGGGGCTGGAAGTTGGGGCTGTGTGTGGGCGGGGAGGTGTTGGTCACAGGAAGCAAACTTTCAGTGAGTCAGGAGGAAAAAGTGATGTATTGCACAGTATTGCACAATATGGTGACTGTAGTTAATAACAATGTATTACATTCTTGAAAATCACTAATGACTAGATATTCGGTGTTGTCACCACAAAAAATAAGTATATGAGGTAATGCACATATTGTCTCAATTTAGCTGTTCCACAACACATACATATTTCAAAACAACATTATATACAATAAATAGATATCATTTTTGTTGATTTAAAAATAGTTATTTGTACTGTGCTTGCAATGCTAAGTTTGAGGTTGTTTCATAAAAGACATACATGTATTATACTTCAATTAAACATTTCAACAAAGTATTATCCTGTTGCCTCTTTTATGCCAGGAATTACAATTAAAGCCGTTAGAAGGGAATTTGTAAAATTAAAAGTGCTAGAAGTCATTGGTGTTACATATTCATAGGTTCTGAAGAACTGTTTCTCCAGGGAGGGGTACGCTTCTGTCAAAAGCTGACTTTCAGTAAAAAACAGTTTAACTTGTTTCAGTATGAAATTTATGTTAAAAAGAAATTACAAGTTTAACAAAACTAGTCATGTAGGAAAAAACCCTACTTTTAAAAATATGCCTTAGAATAATCTGAAATGCCCTGAATGGTCAAGGTCACCAGGTCTTCACAGAGAGCTCTTAATCCCAAGATTGTACCTGACGGCCCGTGGCCAGAGGTGATTCCATGGGAACCTCAAGCTGAATTTAAAGGAATTTCAACGGTGTTAAAGTTGGAAATGGCATGGAAAAATGTATGCTGGCCTCAATTAATTTTCTTCTTTTTTTAAAACAAGTATGTATATGTACTGTTATCCAACACCCTCTTCAAAGCACAAAGAGCTTTTATTAAAAGCTATAGTACCTTGAAAAATGCATGGCTTCTGTGTGTGAAAATGTCAAGTGTAACGGACTCCAGATTTTGTATATTCGTCCTGGTGGCAGAGTGACAAGTCCACATCTCATTCCACATCCATCCACCCCTCTTCACTTGCTGCTTTAGAGTTCCTGATAGGGAAACACCATTCTCTTTCCTGAGCCTGCAAGGCTAAGTCCTTTTCAAGCCAACGTACTGAGGAATGAGTACTGGACAAGTTAACCCTTAATTCTCACAAGTACATGGAAGAAATGTCTTCCAATCACTCCGAATCTGACTTTTACAGGATAAGTAGGAATAATGTAGAAATTTTAGATTAAGAGTAAAATATAGGAAGGAAGGATTTTCTAGGTAGGGAACTCAGCTTGAGTGCAGCCATGACCTGAAAGGTTGTACGTAAGCACAGTAAACTACAAATAAATGTTGATGAAGATATTGAGAGATGTAGCTGCGAGCATAGGCATGGGGTTTCTGGGAGTCCTAAGTAGCAGCTTAGTGTCCAAATAGCTTAGACTTTTCCTGGGCTCCAAAATCAGTTGATGCATCCCAACGGATGCGAAACATACCATCAGTGTGCAGGAATAAAATACTAGGACTTTCATTTATATTAATTTTTAATCAAAGCAAATAGGAAAAACCCCTCACTTTGCTCATGGTATGCCCACTCCCAGTTGCCTGAATATTTCTGATGGTCACAGGTAACATTTGGGAAAAGCGGACATTCCTGTGTGCCAGCATTGATTTGTCTCCTGTAGCACATAATAGTGTTTTGCAGTTGACATGATCCTCGTTTAAACTAAAGCAACTCTTACAAAATGAAATAGTATTGAAGACTATACTAAGGCACTTCACCAGCCACATTAACAAGCAAAAAAAGAAAAGAAAAAGATGGTTTTATCAGATCTGACAAGAGTTAAGCACTATTTGAAATAAGAATTCATATCCACCACTATTAACCATGAGCCTTGTCCTCAGGGAGTGTTGTGCAATGTGATGCTGACTGCTAACAGTGTGAGGCTGAGACCATGGTCAACGCTCTTACCAAGAAATCACCTAAAACTTGAAGACAAACTTTGGTGAAGTCATCGGTAATTAAAAAATTTCACCAGCATTAGAGTACCATTGGAAGCTTTTCGTTGGTTTCCTACTCAATAGTGAAAAACAAATAACCACGTGTCAACATTGTAATTCTCTCATTTGGATCTGTTCTTAAATTCTAAGCAGTGTGTATTTTATGGTGTACTTAATCTCTTAGTAGAGTAATGCATATAAAATTTGTGAATAAACAAGATGCTTTGGGGGCTGTGTGCTCACATTTTTTACTAGTAAGTATGCCTAGTCAATCACACGTGGAAACAACCATGCAAGGTGGAACCACTGGAGATTTTAGGCAGAGAAGTGAAATGGTTAGCCTAGAGGTGAAGGAATGAACATTACAACTATTCAGCAGGCAAAATTTATTTCCTTAACCACCATTACGGAAATTCTCCAAGTTGCATTGACTCACATTTGAATCCTGTCTCCACCACTTGCTGTGTATGTATTTGGGAAAATTACCTCAACTTTCTAAGCCTTCGGTCATCCATTTGTCAAATGAGTGTGTGACTCTGCTCTTACAGACTTTGGGACAGCTCATGTGGATGATGTATGTGATGTGCTTGAACACAAGACACATAATATGTGTTCCAGCATAATATTCTCTTAAATTGCATTTATCTAAATGGTACACATTAGCTATATTTTGACAGACAGTTTTAACTTTTTTCCTAAAAAAAATCATACTATACGTGCTCTTTTCATGTTAAATAATAATTTTTGGCCAGGTACAGTGGCTCACGCCTGTAGTCCCAGCACTGTGGGAGGCCAAGGCGGGCAGATCACGAGGTCAGGAGTTCAAGACCAGCCTGACCAACATGGTGAAACTCTGTCTCTACTAAAAACACAAATAATTAGCTGGGCCTGGTGGCATGTGCCTGTAATCCCAGCTACTCAGGAGGCTGAGGGAGGCTGAGGCAGGAGAATGGCTTGAACCCGGGAGGCAGAGGTTGCACTGAGCCAAGATCCTGCCAGTGCACTCCAGCCTGGGTGACAGAGCAAAACGAGACTCCATCTCAAAAAAAAAAAAAAAAAAAAAAAAAAAAAAATTCCAGCTGTATGAGTCCATTCTCACACTCTGATAAAGACATACCCAAGACTGGGCAATTTATAAAAAAAAAAGAGGTTAAATGGACTCATAGTTCTGCATGGCTGGGAGGCCTCCCAATCATGGCAGAAGGTGAAAGGCAAAGGCACATCTTACATGGCGGCAGGCAAAAGAGAATGAGAACCAAGCGAAAGGGGAAACCCCTTATACAACCATCAGATCGTGTGAGACTTATTCACTACCAGGGGAACAGTGTGGGATAAACCACCCCCATGATTCAGTTATCTTCTGCCAGGTGCCTCCCACAACATGTGGGAATTATGGGAGCTACAATTCAGGATGAGATTTGGGTAGAGGCACAGCCAAACCATATCACCAGCTATAGTACGGTTAGTCCTTGAAATAGGAGTGCTTTGTAAGTGAAACATACAATGTGAGTCAAATTTTCATCTTCTCTAAAATATTGATTAAAGGGCTAATGGAACAGGTTGGCTTATCTATTTTTATATGCTTGTACTTTTAAAACTACACAAAATTGGATGTGAATGGAGGATTAATAGCTAATTTATAGCTAATTCTTAGAGTTTAGGGAACAGAGTGAGAAGCAGCCTGGACATTCTAGAAGGTGTTTGGGGTGCATCCTAATCTGTGGTAAAACAAATCCTCGGGTTCTGATCTGTTATTAATGCTCCAGAAGCACCAATCTTACAATCTACACATGTGTAGATATCTCTGTCGTTATAGTTGGCAGCATACCTACCATCTTGCTAACTTGTCTGATCCACATATGAAATAAGTGCTCCAAAGGAGTAAGTACGTTCCCTGTATGGACACATTTTTCACTCTGTGCACTCAATCCCATCAAATAACCAAGACCTCTTCTGCAGATGGAATGCTGTTAGGCACTGTGGGTGTGTGTCCAGGATCTTCTTTAACTTTATCCTCTCGATGACACTCTGAACTTAGTATCGCTGTCCTTATTTTACAGATGAGGAAACTGTGGCCCTCTGAGAGAAATAAATTGTCCAAGATCTCAAAGCTATGCAGGATACAAGGTAGCCTGGAGACACACACCTGTCCACCTCTGGAGCCCACGTTCTTGATACCAAACCATTCCTGCACCAGAATTCTTTCTGGATATTAAGTTTGCATCAGTATACCTCCTGAAATCATGAGAGCCTTTGAAAAGAAATGCAAAATGAGTAAATACAGATATTTAGGCAGGTATCAGAAACATTGCACAGGATTGTGAGTTATTCTGCAGATGTAAAAATATAAAATTCATTACATTATTACTTAAATTAATAGGTCAGCGATCGTAACTGCTGAAATCTCAGCAATTTTTACATAAAAATAAAATAATTAATCTCTCCATGTAAACTATAAAAACATTTAAATAACCTCTCAACATATATGGTGTGCTGCATACCAAATTCAAAGCTAACCAGTTCATTCTAGTCAGCTCCAAGCCAACATTTACCTCTAAGCACCTTCCCCTCAAAGGGCAATAAGAATGAAACCCAGAGTTCCACAATCTGCTCATCTTGTTCATTTTTAGAGTCGGGGAGGTGTAGGCCTCGTGAGGACTAACCTATCTCTGTAGTGGCATATTTGTGACCAGGACCTTATTTCTTTCAAAATATATTTGATCATCTCTAACTCCAGAAAAGTCAAAATTCCTGTATGGATAGAATTCACTTGTAGTAATTCTAAAGCCACCTTGTCGAAAAGCCTTCCCCTGAAGACCCAGTAGAAAGATGGCTTCACCCCAGCCATCTTCAGCCTTCTTTGTTTTTCTTCATAGTGTCAGTCTGTCCACCTACCATCTCTCCATCTGTGTGACTGTCCATGTACCCATCTGGCATCTATCTACCTATCATCTATCTATCTATACATCTCCATCAATACTATTTGCATGAATACACACACATATTCATAGTTAAAAATCTAGACTATACACAAAATAGAAGGCTTCATAATGTTTCTCTGAATAGGAAATGTCTAAATACATTTAACAGATTAAAATTTCCCTCCTAAATTTACATAGTTTATTTCAGGAATAGTTTTAAATGTGGGCAAACTAAGTCGTGGGACAGGAGTTGAATTTTACCACAATTTGTTTTAAAGTGACTTAAAACTAATAATGGAAAATGAAACAATGTTACCGAGAGAGCTTGACAATTCACAAATTCAGATCTTGCTGTGGTAAGAATATGAATAGTCTTTCCAGTCACATGAGAAACATTCAAAGTCCTTCAAATAATGATACTTCCTCTCACTATGTCAGGGCCCTCCCAACATAGCCTTGCCTTTCCAAATTAAATTAAATTAATTAATTAATTAATTACTTTATTTGTTTATTTCCTAAGACAGGGTCTTCCTCTGTCACCCAGGCTGGAGTGCAGTGGCACAAACACAGCTGCCTGCAGCCCCAACCTCCTGGGCCCAAGCAATCCTCCTGCCTCAGCCTCCCATGTCGCTGAGACCACAGATGCGTGCCACCACACCCGGCTCACTTTTTTAGTAGAGATGGGCTCTCGCTTTGTTGCCCAGGCTTGTCTTGAACTCCTGGGCTCATGCAGTCCTCCCACCTCAGGCTCCCAACGTGTTGGACTTATAGGCATGAACCACCACACCCAGCCACCTTTCCAACTTTTCTTCCTGCAGCCCCAGCTCACAGATGGGCACTGGGCTGCTTGTTGGTTCTTGATTTCCACCCCTTGCTCTACCTACTCAGTCAGTGTCTGTGTTTTCGTCTCATCTCGACGTGCTGCCTCGCTCAGACAAATGGAACCACTGCCCAGTGCTTATCTTGCTTGAGCTGGGTTTTCTTTGTCCCGTTTTGCATTCCCGAGACACCTTGTCTTCTGACTGATTCTGCACAGAGCATAGTAGATAACGTTTGAGGTTCATTTAATGTATTCATGTGTCCATCCTTTCTTTTATTCAGTGAACATCTATTCTGAGTCTGCATGTGCTCAGCACGAGGTGAGGTGCAGAGGAAACAAGGAAGACCACGGCTTTGTCCCTGCTTTCAGGGAACCCCTAGCTGCTGAGAAGCATGGATGCACAGTCAAGCCGTTATGAGTTACGGGGGGTTTAAAGCAAATGCCTGCGGTGCTGCTTAAGAGATACTTCCCATTATATATGTGTGTGTTCTTCAGATGTGACTACTTCACATAAATGTTTAGGGGGTACAGGAGAGCACAGCTACCCCACGCACTGACAAGAAGGTCCTTTTACATTCAAGTACATCTGTTTTGAGGTGAAATCTGTTTGAACCAAAGTAATGGGCTAAATTGTATAATTGGGTCTGTATCTTTCTTAGAGAGAGAGGGGCAGACAGGTTAGTGCGGGAGAATTTTACTGGCAAGGTGTTAAAGAGAAAAGATATGAGTGTGCCTCTATTACCAGTAATACACGGAGATCTGCAAATTGGTTAATAACTACAGGAGAAGAAAGTGCAGGAACTGCCGCCTCTGGGTTTCCTTTGCCCCATGAGGAGCGTGATGCTAGAGTTCCTGGTAGAGGCAAGGAAGAGGAAGTGCAGCTAATAATTTGAAGATATTTACACCTTTCCTAGTCTGTTTCACAGTACAAAGGCATTAGTGGGAGTGACAGGAACAAGTTATAGACCATTTATTTAGGCTATCTGGAAGGATTTAATCTCACCTGGGTCATGGAGTTGCGTATTTTCTGGGAATTGGGGCTACTGTGATAGCCCTATCTGTAGGCCTGGCATCCAAAGATAAGAGTTTAAGTCTGGCTGGAATTAGAAGCGACAGAATTAGCTAGAACGCAAGCCTGAAAACCTTTTGGTTCAAATTGTGAAATGCCTCTGGGTGGCAGTTCCAATCTGTCCTGATGGAGCTTCGGCTCTGAGAGCTAAGCGTGAGGCAGACATCAGTAACATCAAGGACGTTTCTGCAGTGTGCACAGGAAATCCAGCCCTGGATGATGCAGTTTATACTTTTCATCCATCTTAAGGCTCCATCATAATATGTCTCCAGAAGACTAATTTTCTACTTCGTCAGCATCCGAATGTTTATTTTTTAAAAAGAACCCATAAACATGTTTGAAAGGCCAGTGATTTTAGAATCTATGAGGTAGCTTTGTATAGAACTTGCTCGTTTATATCACTTTGAAATATCAGAAATAGAAGTTATTAAAACATAAAACAGCAGATAATGATGATACTAGTGTATTTCTTAGTTACATATACCTTATTAGCCCCTTAAACTGTGTATTTCAGACTTATGGAGTATGACCCACATATGTATATTTATTTACTAGGTAGTATCATAAGACCAACATAATAATGCATGCAATTAATAGATTAGCAGTAGACTTACAATAGGATGGGAACTCAATTGTGAATGATTTAAAACAAAATTTTTTATAATAATCACCGACTATAAATGTTACTTCGTCAAAACAAAATTTATTGCTTCAACTGTTAGTGGTAAACTTTTTTTTCATTTTTTTATTTTTTATTTTTTCATTAGACTCACTCTGTCACCCACGCTGGAGCGCAATGACGCAATATCAGCTCACTGCAACTTCCGCCTCCCAGGTTCAGTGATTCTCCTGCCTCAGCCTCCCGAGTAGCTGGGACTATAGGCGCTCGCCAACATGCCAGGCTAATTTTTGGTATTTTTAGTAGAGCCGGGGTTTCGCCATGTTGGCAATCTGGTCTCAAACTCCTGACCTCAGGTGATCTGCCCGCCTCTGCCTCCCAAAGTGCTGGATTACAGGAGTGAGCCACTGCACCTGGCCTATTAGTGGTAAACTTGTATGACCTTTTTCTTTTCTTTGAGACAGAATCTCTTTCTGTTGCCCAGGCTGGAGTGCAGTGGCCCAATCACAGCTTACTACAGCCTTGACCTCCTGGGCTCAATGGATCCTCCCACCTCAGCCTCCCAACTAGCTTGAACTACAGGCATGTGCCACCATGCCCGGCTAATATTTGTAATTTTTGTAGAATCGGCTCTCACTTTGTTGCCCAAGCTAGTTTTGAATTCCTGGGCCCAAGTGGTCCGCCCACCTCAGCCTCCCAACATGCTGGGATTACAGGATTGAGTCACGGCATTTGTCTGGCCTTTTTCTTTCTACTGATAAAATTAAACAAAACATAGTGCTACACAATATGGTGGAGGCAGAAGATTCAAATATACCTGGATTCTCTGTTTCCAATCAAGGTGAATACCCTGTCTGCCCTGTATACTTTTAGAAAACCAGACGATCGGTGCCTGCAGAGAGTTCACCTGTCCTTGTGATGTTCATTTACATGAAAAAATAGTTCAGTAAGAATTGCAAAGCATTTCTAGTAGGTCGTAGGTCCCTGCATAATGGGATCGCAATCCTAGACATATCCACACTTTCTACATTTTAATAATTCTGTGTTGATGGTGATGTTTGTAAGTCTGATTTTCATAGTAAATCTCAGCTTAAGTGTTTAAAAGCCTCTTTAAACCAAATGGGAGAAGTATAAGCTCTATTAGTAAACTGTATTTATTCCATCTTCTTCCATTTTTCAGCTCATTTCTGTCTTTTTGTAGGCAGTTATCGGATGTAAATAGCTATCATCTTTATTACTAAAATGCATCCTTTAATCAGATAGCACATTTTTAGATGTCATGTAACTACAAAGTATAGTTAGATCATGGCCCTGCCCATAACTTTAAAAAATGCTTATAATCATGTAACAGTAATATGCCTTAACAGAAAAAAAAAAAAAGGATAGCAAGAGAAATAAATAAATCTGTAACAAAATGGGATGGTATTTCTACTAATATGAATGATATTTCAAGAGGTCCCAAGGGAGCTAGCAAGGCTATTTAAAGTGAAGCCACATGGTTGCTAATTAAGAATCTTGTATTATACTGGCAAGTGTAAATAGCTGGAAAGCAATGAGGGGTGCACTTTTGTGGCCACGAATTACCAAATAGAACTCAGACTGTGGCGTCTGTCTCTTCATGTTCACTATGAATCATCAAATTCCATGGTAAATCTTAGGGTCTAGCATTTTCCAAACCTTCAGCACTAGAGAAAAACACATTTACATTTCTGTCATTCTAGATAGGAAATGTCAGTTCAGATTATATTCTGCCTTTTTTGGCTTCATATTTTGTCTGAAACATCGTCCTACATCATTGCAAAGTTATCACGGCTCTTTAGTCAAAATATCCCGGTGTATTGCAATTAGACACTTGTATATTTGATGTCGTTGTGTAGCTAGAGCTTTTGTAATTTTCCATATGTAAAAAAGAAAGAAAATCACTAGACCATAAGAGAATATTAAGAGAAAATGTGGCTTCTCTGTATTTAGTTCAATGGATAATATATATAGGCAAAACAAGTGAAATGTAAGCAGAACCAGTGACCTCTTCAGTAATGTTATTGCCTAATTTAATTGCTTTTTTATTCTGGTCACTACTTTCTGCCACTAGGAAAATGTAGGGCATGCTGATTGAGGGATAACTATTTTAAAATAAAATGTAAACAGAAGTTTTCCAGAAATAAACTTCAACTGGCCAACTATATGTTACTTGTGTCTAAAATATAAATCCACTATAAGTTTTTATAACATTAGGGTAACAATGTATTAAAAGTATGTGAAGCCTAACACGACTTCTCTAGACATACATCCTTCCTTATAATGATCTGATACACACACACACACCTGTACACAGACACACACACACACACAAATACTGCGTGGTTCCTCAGCACTTTTAGGCTGGCTTATGGAATCTAAGATACCACCTTATCTGCCTTTCAAAAAAATAACAGTTGATTGACTTAATTTTCCTAACATTAAATTGACCATCTTTACGTGTACAGTTTAGTAGTGTATTCATAGAGTTGTGTAATCATCAACACCATCAAATTTTAGAACACTGCCATAATTCCCAAAAGGAAAGCCTGTACACAGTAGCAGTCACACCCCATGCCCCTGCTCACTTCCCTCTTCCCCGAGTACCTGGCTACCACAAATTGACTTTGTCTCTATGAATTTGCCTAATTGGGAGATTTATTTAAATGGAAACATGTAATACGTGGTCTTCTGTGACTGCCTGCTTTCGCTTATGACGTTTAAAAGTTCATCCATATTTGCGACTTGTGGTACCTCATTCCTTTTTATTGCCAAATAATATTCCATTGTATGAATATACTGCATTTTGTTTATGTATTCATCAATTGATGGGCATCTGGGTTGTTTCTACTTCCTTGCTATTAGAAAAATGCTGCTGTTACTGATCATGTACGAGTTTTTATATGGACATACATTTTCTTTTCTTTTGGATATATACCTAGAAGGGAAGTTGCTGGAGATATGGTAACACTATTTTAAGGTATGCCACTCTTTAAAAGTGGCTGTACCAATTTCCCTTTCTGCCAATAATGAATGAGATTTACAATTTACCTATGTTCTTGACAGCACCCGTTATTCTTTTCTTGTTTGTTTTAAATTTTAGCAATATTTGTAGGTGTGAAGGGACATCTCATAATTTTGATTTATATTTCCCTAACGACTAATGATGCTGATCTTCTTTTCAAGAGTTTATTGGGCCATTTGTATAACTTCCTTGGAAAAATGTCTATTCAGATTCTTTGCCCATTTTTTAATTGGGTTATTTGTCTTCTCCTTGTTAAGTTGTAAATGTTCTTTATATATTCTGGACAGAGGTTTTTTATGACATATGTGATTTGCATTTATTTCCTTCCTTTTGGTGGGTTGTCATTTTACTGTAGTGATGATGTTCTTTGAAGAACAAAAGTTGTAGTTCAGTGTGTATATGTTGTCTTTGTTCGCTCATGTTTTTGGTGCCAGATCTAAGTACCTTTTCCAAACCCAAGGTCACAAAGGTTTACTCCTAAATTTTCTTCTGAGACTGTTATAGTTGTATCCCTTGCATTAGGCCTCTTATCCATTTTGACTTAATTTTTATATGTAATGTGATGTAGGAACTCAGCTTCATTCTTTTGCATATGCCGTTTATTGAGGGGATTATTTTTCCCCATTGAATCATCTTGTTACCCTGTTGAAAACGAATCAAATATTTGGTTGAACTTACCAAGGTATCCCCTGGACCTGGACTTTTCTTCTTGGCAGTTTTAAAATTAGTAACGCAATGTCTTTACTTGTTATGGGTCTATTCAGATTTGATATGTCGTCTTCAGTGAGTTCTGGTAGGTTGTGTCTTTCTTGGAATTTACCCGTTTCGTGTAAGTTATCTATTTGTTGGTATAATCTTATCTTTTACCAGTGAACTATCAGGATCCAGATTGTAATCTCTTTGTTCATTTCCTAAACAAATACACAAAATTTTGACTAAAATTTTACTAAGCCAATTTAATTTTTTCTAATAAATGCAATTATCTTAAGGATTAGAAAGATATAACAAGTAGCTTAGAAAATTGACAAAATATCCAGTAAATTTTAAAACTAGCTATCTGTTATTCATTTACTGTTTTCCAGTGATTGAGAAAAACAATTTTTTCTAGCTCCCCATTAACTCGGTAACTGCTGAGAGATAATAAGGATAATGAGGTCACGTGATGACCCTAGCTCTCACCCCTTTGGTCATCAGGGTGCCCTAAGAATCTTCAGAAACTTTCAGGGACATTTATCTTACTGAATCATAATATGGGTTCAGAATCAATTTAGTCCATAGTCACTATTTTTGTTTCTTTGCCCAATTCCCTGTTGAATTATGAGACTGTGGATAATATTGTGCCCTCTCTAAAGGTCCTCATTGATGTGGGACAGGGTTAGAAATTGGAGCCTGTACTGGATTGCATCCCTTGCATCCCCTAATTTGTCTATCTCTTTCTATCTTTGCATTCTGATGACTCTCTCTCAAGCCAGAGGAGCGTTAGTGCTCCTGCGTTTAGGAAGCTGGAATGTCCACGCTGTGCATACTCTATTTGCATTACTATTGTTTAGAAATTATTGGCCGGGCGCAGTGACTCATGCCTGTAATCCCAGCACTTTGGGAGGCTGAGGCGGGTGGATCACGAGGTCACGAGATCGAGACCAGCCTGACCAACATGGTGAAACCCCGTCTCTACTAAAAATAGAAAAATTAGCTGGGCGTGGTGGCGTGTGCCTGTAATCCCAGCTACTCAGGAGGCTGAGGCAGGAGAATTGCTTGAACCTGGGAAGCGGAGCTTGCAGTGAGCCGAGATCGCGCCACTGCACTCCAGCCTGGTGACGGAGCGAGACTCCGTCTCAGAAAAAAAAAAAAAAAAAAAAAGAAATTATTCTCTAAGCACCTGTAGGCCCTCCACTCACCCACTTGAAGCAGAAACCATGCTTCCTTTCATAGGGAAGCACAGTGCCTAGCGTAAAGTAGGTGCTCGTTTCTGGCCCAATTTTTAAAAAAATAATAAAATTCTAATCTGTGCCAACTCCAAATCTATTTTGATGAACTTCAAATGTATATTTGATTTTTCTTTCTACTACCCTTTCCTTAAGGGCATTCTCATGTTCTCAACTCTTTTATTAAAACTGATTTTTAGGAAAGTTTTTGATACTCTTTATATTGATATCTTAATGTAATTTTAGTCATTATATTACAACCAGGGGCATTTTCATTTGAAACATTTTCTAATATCATGGAATGAGAGAGTCTACCCATAGGTGAAAAAGGTAAGTGGTGCTTACATTAAAACAAAAATAAAACAAACACTGGCTCTGCCTTGGGGATGTATCTGTATTTTCTGAGCCCATGTCAGTGATGACCTGAGCACTGGACAGCTGGGGGACCTTAGAAAATGAGGTCCCTAAATGAAGTGAGTCCAGTGAAGTATGCAATTGGGAACCTCTGTGGCATATTATTTGCTTTCTAAAGTTCATATTTCCTTGTATTTTCATATTTGTATTAATGGCTCAATTTACGCTTGAATTTCCTTCATGTATAATTAATTCTTCAGCAATTTCATTCCACAAATACGAACTGTGAGCCTGCATGGCAGTAGACTAGTCACTGGAATTCAGACAAAAAAGGTCTGTTCTCTCAAGGAACTTACATTCTAACCAGAGAGAAAAATGTCCTATAATTAATGCATCAGTGATGTAGTTAAGATGGAGATAAATGCTACTAAGGAGAAGTATTTGAAGAGCTGCTAGCATTCTCCCAGATGTGTCTGTGAAGGTGTCCTTTTCAACCTGCTCAACCACATTTTTCTCTAATGTTGTACAGCCTCTCCTTGAGATGCTAATCTTTGTCCAGGGATTTAGTTTTAATCTCCAGTACCTGATTTGGGCTGGCTGTGGGTTTATCTGTTGATAAATACAGAAAAACATCTTAACACATTTTTAAATGTTGTATTTTGTAGTGCTGACACTGCTAGTATGGTAACAGCGAGTCGTTTTGCTCCTCCATCTCTTCCTCTCTTTTCTCTCCATTGGTGAAAAAGGTGTTACCTTACAATGTGCTTGTGTGCCATGGAGTTTTCTACACTCTCAAACTACCTGCTTGTTTCCTCTTTTGCTTATATTCCTAGTCTTCTTTGCTTTCAAAACAATAAATCTGATAACATAAAGAGTCCACTCATGCACTCAGAGACTCTAAGTTTTGAGAGATGCCCAGACTAATTCTGAATTCATTAAAAATTTAAGATAGTTGAGTGCCAACTAGGGTGCCAGCACTGTGAACATTAAAGAAATGCTCCCTAAAGAATCATTTGTTAATAGGATAATGAAAGAGTATAATTTTTATTAAAAGAAAAGGGCATTAGTACATTAATTGTGAGCTGCTCTCTGCTTATTTGCCGTATGACTATTAAAATTCTCGAAGTAACATAAGGAGTTCTATGGGGAGATTTCAAAGCCTTAAGAAGGAAATATTAGGGGGACTAATAGGATGGATAGAGTAGAATGGCAAATCTTTCTCATAGGCACTGTTACATGACTTGATCAGAACCATCTTTGATACTTTATGTTGCTTCCCCTGTCACTTTTATTTAACAATAAAATCTCTCAGTTCTGAGAACAAAAGTACTTTTAAAACAGGTAAATTTCTGTCATAAAAGTGTTTTTCACTGCAGTGGGTGGTGGTGAGAACAGTAAGATGGGAATGTAACCTGCCAGCGCTGATTGAGCCAACCACCCACCTGATTTGAAAAGAGTAACACTCAACAAATTCTTGGAATTGACTAATTTGAGAATACATGAATAGTATCTTAACTCCCCTCTCTCACAGTTGGTAAGCATAGTTCATACCAAGTTGGAAACAAAATTATAATTGGTCTTGCCATTAAATGAACTCCCTTAGTATGTTATGCATTTCTTTGTCAAATATCTGCTCTTTATGTCCTCCATTAAATTATAGAATAATAGAATATAGTCCTGAATCTCACTCGTGTTTGATTTCTAACATTTAATACAAAGTTTAACACACAGTAGATGCATGAAAATCATTTCAATAACTGAATAGTCAAATATGTATTGCTTATTTGAAATCATATCTAGATTGAAAGCTATTCATTAATATAAATTAGTAAGTTGATAATACTTGTGAAGTTAGACAATCCATAATATAATCATACTTTTAATTTCAACTCAGTTGTTTTTAGGGGTAGGGGTAATTCCTTATCTTTCACCTCCATTTATACAACATGGTGGGATTTGTCTAGAATTACATCCATTTCTTTGTGCAGGCCTATGTAGGGTTTTTTAAAAAGCCTATCTCGTATGTCCCATTTGGGTTTTTCCTCTTAAGACATCTGTTTCCCTATTTCCACTGTCTCACTGCATGAGGAGTGAGTCTCTCTCTTTGTGTGTGTGTTTGTGGTAGGACACTGATCAACTAGTCTGTATCAATATAGCAATGAGTGATAATGGAATAACATGTCACTTTAACCTTTTTTGTTTGAATTGGATTTTGGAGACTCTGCCTTCACACTAAATGAAGTTCAGGTTACTGATTGTAATTCCAGGCTATCTGACAGTACAGAGACAGGAATATTTTGTCCTAATTGTGCCTTCTATATTATCATTACCTATTTTATAATTGAACTTTGCTTGGATCATAATTGCCTTATAACTGAAGTTTGCTTGAGTATTTTTTAAATACACACTATAGAGATGCCACAGTTCCTGTAACTACAGTACACTCTTAGTAACACAGAGTATAGGAAAATTTACTAATGTATACTTTCATTGAATATAGCAGTAGTGTAACTTATGTTTGTAGAAACATAAATAACTCAGGTATCTCTCAGATAATCTGCATAGCTATAGCAACAGTATAACACAATTATTTCATTACATTCATAAATGTATTATGATTATTTTTGAAGACTCCTATAAGTCCTGTTCTTAATATCCAAATAATACTAAATGATACCAAAACTACAATTCCTCAGAATGTTCTACATATAGTGAAACTTACTTCCCACAACTTTATTGAAAGAAACCAGCAACCTGAATTCTTTAACTTGTTCTGGTCCCATGGAGGCAGCGTCTTCACGGGCTTCATGTACAGATGTTGACTCCACGGAGCTGCCTTTTCAATGCATGAGTGGATGTAGGTCGCAAATGTTAAGTCAAATTTAAAGAGATTACAGGATTTGGCTTTACAGTACACATTGGTTTGGTGCAAAAGTAATCGCAGGTTTTGCTATTGCTTTTAATGGTAAAAATCTTTTGCACCAACCTAATATTATATTTTATGTTTGGAAAGAGAAACTATGACCTACCCCTTCAAATATTTTCAATAATATGTATCTAATGCATTTAATAGTTTTTACCTCTGTCAAAAACTAAATCAACATTATAATTATAATTTCTATTTTTATGAGAATGCTATGTGTATTTCAATTCTTTCTAAAATTATTTTTTAATTTTCAATTATAATCAAATTATTAGTGTCCCTGGAAAAATATTAATTCTAGTAACCATTCCTTCTTAACATTAAATCTTTGAAAAATGAAGAAATACCAACTTTTCTATTTTTAAAATGCTGTCAATTCATATATGGGTTACAGATATCTGTCTGCAGGTATTTTTAGTTGAGTGTCAGAATTTCTTTAACCTGAAATGTAAATCATTTCTAAGGTAAAAGAGAATGAAGGGTACTGTGTTTTGTCAAAATCCTTCTGGCATCAAGTTATTAACTGTGTAATTGATAAGTGGATTGTGACTATTTTTAATTCCTAAAAAGAGAAGTTGAATCTCTATGGTGATGATTTGATGTTCTATTACTAGACAGGAGGACCTGTTTAGTTCATAATCAGAAAAAAAAATTATTTCTCTTTTTGGAAGTAAAAACAAAATTACAATAAAAAGCATTATTCATGCTACTCTAATAATACAGATGTTGTGCAAGATTCTTATGGTTTGGCTTGATGAAAATGAAAACAGTACAGGCGCACCTCACTTTATTGCATGTCACTTCATTGCCCTTCTCTGGTATTGTATTTTTTACAAATTGAAGGTTTGTGGAAACCCGGTATTGAGCGGCAAGTCTATCAGCAGCACCATTTTTCCAACAGTATGTGCCCACTTCATGTCTCAGTATCACATTTTGGAAATTCTCACAATGTTTTAAACCTTTGCATTATTATTAATCTGTTAGAGTGATTGGGGATCTTTGTTTTCAGTTAATAGTTCAGACTTTGTCTTTCAAAAGTATATGGCGGGTGGATCACCTGAGGTCAGGAGTTCGAGACCAGCCTGGCCAATATGGAAAAACCCCGTCTCTATTAAAAGTCCCAAAACTGGGTGGGCGTGTTGGCAGGCACCTGTAATCCAAGCTACTTGGGAGGCTGAGGCAGGAGAATCCCTTGAACCTGGGAGGCAGAGGTTGCAGTGAGCTGACATCGCGCCACTGCATCCAGCCTGAGCAATACAAAACAGAATAATTTTTTTAAAAGAATGAAATTTATTCTAATAATTTTAGGGTATGATCAGTGATCTTTAGTGTTACAATTATAATAGTTTTAGAATACCATGAACCACACCCATATGAGATGGTAAATGAAATTGGTAAATATTGTGTGTGTTCTGACTGCTCCAGTGACCAACCATCCCCACATCTCTCTCCCTCTCCTTGGGCCTCCCTATTTCCTCAGACAACATAACATGAAAATTGGGCCAATTAGTCCTATGATGGGCTCTAAGTGTTCAAGTGAAAGGAGGAATGGCACGTCTCTCACTTAAATCAAAGCTAGAGATGATTGAGCTCAGTGAGGAAGGCATGTTGAAAGCCAATATAGACCAAATGCTAGGCCTCTTGTGGAAAACATTTAGCTAAGTGGAGAATGCAAAGGAAAATTCCTTGAAGGAAATTAAAAGTGCTACTCCAGTGTAGACAAAAATGATTAGAAAGAAAAACAGCTTTATTGCTGATATGAAGGAAATTTTAGTAGTCCAGACAGATGTTGAAACCAGCTACATTTCCTTAAGCCAAAAACCTAATCCAGAGGAAGGCTGTATTAGTCTGTTCTCACGTTGCTGATAAAGATATACCTGAGACTAGGCAATTTAAAAAAGAAAGAGGTTGAATGCACTTACAGTTCCACGTGGCTGGGGAGGCCTCATAATCATGGCAGAAGGTGAAGGCACATCTCACATGGTGCCCGACGAGAAGAGAGCTTGTGCAGGGAAAGTTCCCCTTATAAAACCATCCAATCTTTGAGGCTCATTCACTTTCAAGAGAATATCATGGGAAAGACCTACCCCCATGATTCAACAACCCCCAACCAGGTTCCTCCCACAACACTTGGAAATTGTAGGAGTTACAATTCAAGATGAGATTTGGGTGGGGACACAGCCAAACCAGATCAAAGACCTGTACCCTCTTCAATTCTATGAAGGCTGAGAGAGGTGAGGAAGCTGCACAAGAAAAGTTGTTCAGCTGGCAGAGGTAGATTCATGAGGTTTAAGGAAAGAAGCCATCTCCATCACAGTTCAAGTTCAGGGTGAGTGCTGATGGAGAAGCTGCCTCAAGTTATGTAGAAGACCTAGCTACGGTCAATGATGAAGGTGGCCACAGTAAACTACAGATTTTCAGTGTAGATGACACAGCCGTCTATTGGAACAAGATGCTATCTAGGACTTTCTTAGCTAGAGAGAAGTCAATACCTGGCTTTAATGCTTCAAAGAACAGGCTGACTCTCTTGTTAGGGGTAATGCAGTGGGTGACTTTAAGTTGAAGACAATACTCATTTACCATTTTGAAAATCCTAGGTCCCTTAAGATTATGCTAAGTTTACTGTGCCTGTGCTCTATAAATGGAACAACAAAGCCTAGATGACAGCACACCTGTTTACAGCACGGTTTACTGGATATTTTAAGGTCACTGTTGAGACCCACTGCTCGGGAAAAAACATTCCTTTCACAATATTACTTCTCAATGCCAGTGCACCTGGTCACCCAGGAACTCTGGTGGAAATGTATAGGGAAGTGAATGTAGTCTTCATGCCTGCTAAAACAACACCTAAATTCTGCAGTCCATGGATCAATGAGTAATTTTGACTTTCAAGACTTACTATTTTAAAAAAATTTCATGATGCTATAGCTCTCATAGATCACTAAAGATCATTACATTTCTCTGATGGATCTGGGGAAAGTAAACTGAAAACTTTCTGGAAACGATTCACCATTCTAGATGCCATTAAGAACTTCATGATTCATGAGTGGAGGTCAAAATATGAAGATTAATAGGAGTTGGAAGAAGTCGATTCTAACCCTCATGGATGACTTTAAGGGATTCAAGACTTCAGTGGAGCAGGTAACTGAAGATGAGGTGAAAATAGCAAGAACAGTAGAATTAGAAGTGGAGGCTGAAGACATGACTCAATTTCTGCAATCTCATAATAAAATATGAACGGATGAGGAGTTGCTTCTTATGGAAGAACAAAGTGGTTTCTTAAGATGAAACCTACTCCTGATGAAAGTGCTGTGAACATTGTTGAAATGATAACACAGGATTTCAGACATGAAATAAACTTAGATGATCAAGCAGCCACAGGGTTTGAGAGGACTGACTCCAGTTTTGAAGGTTCTGCTGCTGTCAGACAGAATGACATGCTACAGAGAAATCTTTTATGAAATGAAGAGTCCATCAGTGCGGCAAACTTCATTGTTGTCTTATTTTAAGACATTGCCACATCCACCCCAGCTTTCAGCAGCCATCACCCTGAACAGTCTGCAGCCATCAGCATCGACGCAAGACCTGCCACTAGCAAAAAAGGTTATGACTTGAAGGTTCAGATGAGAGTTAACATTTTTTAGCAATGAAGTATTTTTTAATTAAGACATGTCCATTCTCGTTTTAGACATAAGACTATTGCATACTTAACAAACTACAGTATAGTGCAAGCATACTTTTTGTGTGCACTGAGAAACCTCAGCTTTGTGTGACTTGCTTTATTGTGATATCTGCTTTATTGCAGTGATCTGTAACTGAACCCACAGTATCTCCAACTTATGCCTGTAACTAACATTACAGTGTTTTAGGGCGGAAAAGAACTTTTCATGTGTTTTGTTTGTTTTATCCTCACCAAAATCTTACAGGATATCGAGAGCTGATACTATTTCTTATTTTACACCTAGACAAACCTGAGCATTGTAGAATTGAAATTACTTGCCCAAGGGTACAATTTCATATATAAATAATGAATCTTGAACTTAGGTACTTTTCTTCTAAATTCTGTATTTTTCTATTGCACTCTCTCTTTAGAAATCATCTCGATTCACCGGGTTCTAATAAACACACAGGATGATAGTCATTATTCTGAATCTTCATTTGAAACTGAGAAACTTGTTTCCATCAGTCTCAGTTGCTGGGGAAGAATCCTAGGGAAATGCAGTCACCAGAAAATGTCCAGCAGGAAAGCAAAATGTGTCAACCTGGACCTTAAGATATATGTGCTTGTAGTAGGCAATAGCACAGAGCAGGTGAGGAATATTTGAGAAAGTTGAGAATTCATTTTTCCAATAAACATAACCTAAATGCAGCATTATACTAACTGTAAATGCATTACTCTCATTAAACATTCCTGAGACCTTCTGATTGAAAGACCCTAGAAAGTAAAAAAATTTTCTAAGCAGAGAAAGTTTCCAGGAAGATTCAAAATCACGCATAACTCTATGTTTCCTTATAGGTGTGCCTGTGGATTTCTATGTAGAGGGTGACAATAAGGTGGGTGGAGAGAGGTGGGGAAGGAGGGAAGTGGGCAGATGAGAAAAGACTCCCTGAGCTGTGTTAGGGACCAGGGAGCATAAACTGTCCTGAAATAAGGGGGAACCATGAGAGGGGTTTAAACAGGGGATGGGCAGGGTTTTGTTTTTCTTTGGAAATATTCCTCCGGCAGGTATGTGAATACATTTGAGAGAACTGAGAAGGACAGCACAAAATTAGTTGACAAGTTACTGCAGTCATCCAAAAGGGAGTATGATGTATCAAAATAAGATGCTGGCTTTGGGTATAGAAAAGAGGACACCGATTTACAAATTACAAGAACAACAGCTAGCTAGAGGTCAGGATTTGGAGAATATGAATTCCCTTTTGAGTTGGGCAACGGAGTATCTGCCTATTCTGTCTGTAGTGTTGCTAATGGTTCCCAACTATCGTCCTTGCTTTTCCAAATAGATTGCTTCATTTCCTTGAGATCTCAGACTACAAATTCGTGTTCCGCTACACCTTCCACTTGACCTTGTTCTCATAGAATGATGCTGTCAGGGGCTGTGGAGCTGTGAACAGCGATTTCCATCCAGCTTCTGAAAAGGCTCGAGTGCTGAGCTTTGGGAATTTCATGTTAACTTTTCTACCTCCTTCATGACTGTGAGGCTATCAGCTGTCACCGCTTATGAGTTCCAGAATGGCAACCTCTGATGACTTCAAAAGAAATTTGAGTCACGTAAGACTTTGTGATTTTGTGTGAAGACAGACTGTAAAGGAGGGTCTGATCTATTAAATTAAATCTTACCTAATCTTTTTTAAAGTATTTATTAATTATTAAGTATTAATTATTAAGTATTAATAATCTTGCTTAGTAACCCTATTCTTTTCATTTAATGGCTCCGAGTTGTGATGTCCCTATCTTATTCACACCAGGAGAACAGAAAGCCTTTACAAGTTTATGGTTTGTGGCACACGCATTTATTCCCAATACATTATTTATAGTTTTCTTGATAAATACCCAATACAGCTCTCCTTTGCTTAGTCATTTTGAGGTAACAGGGAATCAAAATGAGGCCCTGCAAAATTGCCCAGAAAAGTGGCTTTTTTATCAAACTTAAAAATGTTTGACACTAAGTTCTAATTAAAATATAACTGTTTTCTTGGCCTTAGGTAAGAGAATGGTAAATGTCATCTAAATTAGCTAAAATTAAGTAACATGATTTCGGGGAAAGATTTCCTTAAACCAGAGCATAATTTGGGATAACAAGCAAGCTCTGTGTTTCCCTTTGTTTTTTGATTCCTGAATAATATCACAATTACTAATACTTCTATGAATAAATGTATTAATATGGCATGTTTCAAGATCAAGTATGAACATGCCTCAGCTTTCAGACTGATCTCAAGAAGCATAGTCAGATGTTAGAAGCCATGGGATACAACTGAACAAGTGTATCCATGCACTAAAGTCATGAGAAGTTAAAACCGTGAAAAATGAGAGAACGTTGAATTTCTTCAGATGCTGAGAACCCATGATCTGTTGGCTGATACCATACATTTTTTTAATGAAGCCAGTTTGAGCTGTTAACATAAAAGACCCAAAGGTTTATGGAATATCAAATTTCAACTTATCCCATATGCTATAATCAGTTGAAATGTAGGTGTATGCTAGTATTGTGAATAAAAAATAATTTTTTTTTTTTTTTTTTTTTTAGAGAGAGAGTCTCTCTCTGTTGCCCAGGCTGCTGTGCAGTGGTGTGATCTTGGCTCACTGCAACCTCCGCCTCCTGAGTTCAAGTGATTATCCTGCCTCACCCTACTGAGTTAGCTGGGATTACAGGCAAATGTCACCATGACTGACTAATTTTTGTATTTTTAGTAGAGACAGGGTTTCACCACATTGGCCAGGCTGGTCTTGAACTTCTGATCTCAGGTGATCCACCCGCCTCGGCCTCTCAAAGTTCTGGGATTACAGACCTGAGCCACAGCGCCCAGCCATGAATAAAAAATAAACATTTTAAAGAAAACTCTTAATTTTTTCCTTACCTAAACCATCCTGGATTTTTCATTTTTGTTAAAAATTAATCATTCATGGAATAGATAAAATTAGTAGTGGGAGTGGTGGGATGGGCTATTTTGAAAGAATACTCAGCTAATAATCACAAGCAATTTATAAGAGACCTCCTCCAGGTCCCTCTATTTTACTTGCACTAATTTTTCTCCATCAACAAAATAAACAGCCATAAAGTGGCAAACGTGCATGGGGCAGTAGAAGTGCAGTCATGCATTGCTGAACTGTGGTGGGATAGGTTCTAACAATGTGTTGTTAGGTGATTTTGTCATTGTGCGAACATCATAGCATGTGTTTAGACACAGCTAGATGCTGTAGCCTACCAGACACCTAGGCTTTCAGAGCAAGAGAATAGGTCAGCCTATTGCTCTGAGGCTGTAAACATGGACAACATGTTACTATATTGAATGCTGTAGGTAACAGTAATACAGTGGTAATTATTTGTGCATTTGAACAATTTTCAATGAACTGTATCCTTCCATCTTTTGAACCAAGAGGGAAATGGATGTTGGGTCACCAGCCTCCATGTCTGCCACGTTCCTGGTGAAGGTAGTCTGGGGAATCTGAGCACGGGTTTGCAGTCCCAACAGCCTGCCCACTCTCTTCCCTCTGACTGAAGTGACACACTCATCATGCAGAGAGTGTGTGGACGGCGTTGTGGATGAGTGAGTGAAGAAGATGGGAGTTGCAGTTCTCTGAGCAATGACAGGCATGTGGGGGAAGAAAATTGTTCCCCTGAAAATATTATTATGTCAAAAAGTTAAGAAAGTCAATGATTTATAATCAAGAGCTTATTTGTTCTTCAGCAACAATCTTTTCCACTTCATTTGATGAAATCCATGTACATTGCAAGAGCAAATTTTAAGAAAAGTTGGTTTATTAAGTCAAAAACATCGATCTAAAAGGAGGATAAATGATAAAATAATAATTTGGGGAAATTCTTGCGGAAACCTGTGAGAAACTTAAAACGTTTCAGAATAAACTGTAGCTGGTTTAAATCAGTGCTAAGAATGCCCAGATGACTACAAATTTAGTTAGTTTTCACCTAAAATTAAGACTTCCTCTTCTCTCTGATTAGATCATAAAGAAACAGGCCTGAATGATTTTTAGAGGTGATTGGACTTTGATTATAACACAATCGGGGGAAAGATAGAAGAGAGGAAACAAGAAAGAGGCATCGGAATATCTTGAAGTGAAAAGGCTCAGAGGGAAATTTATAGACTAGAACATCTATACAATGTGTATTAAACCAGACCATGTTAAAACAAATTAAAAAATATGTATGTCTTTGCCAACATACTTGTCCAAGGACAAAGTGACTCTTCTTTTGGCCAAATCTTATTTGGTTTTTTTTGGATTAAGAAGGCCTTCCTTGGCTGGGCCAGGTGGCTTGCAACCTGTAATCCCAGCACTTTGGGAGGCCAATGCTGGGGGATCACTTGAGGTCAGGAGTTCGAGACCAGTCTGGCCAACATGGTGAAACCCCATCTCTACTAAAAATACAAAAATTAGCTGGGTGTGGGGGCACATGCCTATAATCCCAGCTACTAGGGAGGTTGAGGCAGGAGAATCACTTGAAGCCAGGAGATGAAGGTTGCAGTAAGCCGAGGTCATGCCACTGTTCTCCAGCCTGGGTGACAGAGTGAGACTCTGTCTTAAAAAAAAAAAAAAAAAAAAAAGCAAGCCTTTCTTTTTTCATGTCTACAAACCCCAGGACAGTAAGGGGCAAGAATAGGAACCCCTGCCCACAATGTGTACGGTTCAGTGAAAAGATGGGGATAAATGTACCTTATAAATACATGGTAGCATCATTAGCTCTCAGATGATTGGAAGCCTGCTCGTTACATACGTGTTTAATGTTTCACTGGGGGGCCTAAGTTCTGTTGCCCTTTAGGACCCTTGAAAAGCACTTTTCCTTATAGTCCTTGCTAAGTCCTTATCTAGCCAGCTTCTTACTTCAGTGATACATGCCTTTCTCACCTCCACCACTCCAAAACGTTGTTGGAGTGGTCAAGATAGTTGTTGACCAGTGGTCAAGATAGTCAGCCCAGATTGATGATACATATTCACGGGCAGTACATTATATAGAAGCAATAGAAAATTAAATACAATGTGGACTTTTTATAATTTTAACCATAATCCGATGTGATTTGTACCTTTCCCTTTCTTAAAAATAAATGCAGGCGATCAAGTTAAGTTTTATGTGGGGAGTTAGAGTACTATACTACACACCAAAATGTGATGTGTTATTCATAAAGCTTAATTTTGAGAACTAAATAATAATATTTCTATGATGATGATGGTATCTGAGCATTCACTAGAAATCTAATAAACTTCTTATTTAATAAGCATAGTTGAGTTCCAGTCATAATTATCAAGATCATAAAGCCAGCTGAGGTAACTATGAATCTTTATATGATGATAAATATTATTCAAATAGATTTACATGCCATGAATTGAAATGAGTGCTACCATCTCAACAGCTAGAAACATATTTTGCTGCCTGAAACTGCCTCTAATCTGAGCTACAGCAAACTTTCCTCCATGCAACAGCCAGACTATTTTTAGTAAAGGAAGCTTGAACAGACGAAGATAATCATATGGTTCTCCTAAATTAAATCCGTTAAGAGTGCGTTCATGTGAATCACCAGATCTGTAAGGCTTTATTGTCTCCATTGTTTAAATTCTATGAAACGGAACAACAAAAAAAATCACTGCTGTTTCAATTCTGCTATCCCTGTGATGTACCTACAGCAAAGCTGTCAACACATAGTAATATAACTGAAGGCATCTTGTGGTTCAGGAATAGTTTGGTGACTGGAAGTTGTGAAGGGGGAAACGCGTTGTTGGCATTTCATTGGTTTAACATAGGTACACCCTGCATGGAGGGACTCGGTAAGTAATGATGGTGATTGACTGTGTCAAAACCCAGCGGAGCTGCATTTTCGTGGAGGACGAGTCACTTCACTTACACTAATGAGAATTATTCTTAAGAAATGTGACTTTTTTTTATATATATACTTTAAGTTTTAGGGTACATGTGCACATTGTGCAGGTTAGTTACATACGTATACATGTGCCATGCTGGTGTGCTGCACCCACTAACTCGTCATCTAGCATTAGGTATATCTCCCAATGCTATCCCTCCCCCTCCCCCCACCACACAACAGTCCCCAGAGTGTGATATTCCCCTTCCTGTGTCCATGTGATCTCATTGTTCAATTCCCACCTATGAGTGAGAATATGTGGTGTTTGGTTTTTTGTTCTTGCGATAGTTTACTGAGAATGATGATTTCCAATTTCATCCATGTCCCTACAAAGGACATGAACTCATCATTTTTATGGCTGCATAGTATTCCATGGTGTATATGTGCCACATTTTCTTCATCCAGTCTATCATTGTTGGACATTTGGGTTGGTTCCAAGTCTTTGCTATTGTGAATAATGCGGCAATAAACATACGTGTGCATGTGTCTTTATAGCAGCATGATTTATAGTCCTTTGGGTATATACCCAGTAATGGGATGGCTGGGTCAAATGGTATTTCCAGTTCTAGATCCTTGAGGAATCGCCACACTGACTTCCACAATGGTTGAACTAGTTTACAATCCCACCAACAGTGTAAAAGTGTTCCTATTTCTCCACATCCTCTCCAGCACCTGTTGTTTCCTGACTTTTTAATGATTGCCATTCTAACTGGTGTGAGATGGTATCTCATTGTGATTTTGATTTGCATTTCTCCATGTGACTTTTTTCTTGTGATAATTTTCTCAGAGTGGGTAAATTATGGTATTGAGTATTAGATTATGAAATGCTTGCTTTTTATGATACCAAACACGTTTTTGTATTGGAAGTGAATTATCTGCCAAATTATGTTTTAAAAGCTGTAGAGGGCTGAGGGCAGGGCATCAAGCCTGTAATCCCAGCACTTTGGGAGGCCAAGGCAGGCAGGTTGCTTGAGCCCGGGAGTTCCACACCAGTCTGGCCAACATGGCGAAACCTTGTCTCTACAAAAAGTATAAAAATTAACCGGGTGTGGTGATGCACGTCTGGAGTCCCAGCTACTTAGGGGGCTGAGGTGGGAGGATCGCTTGAGCCCAGGAGGTTTTGGCTGCAGTGAGCCATATCGTGCCACTGCACTCAAGCCTGGGTGACAGAGCGAGACCCTGTCTCAGAAAACAGACACACAAAAAACAACAACAAAAAAACCCAAAGCTATAGAGGTAGTACTTGGGAAAATTTTCAAGACCAGCTGAGATGTTCTGTTTAGGCAGCCATTGAGTTAACTTGGCAGTACTGAGTAATAAATACAGGAATAGACACTTGCTCTGGTTAACGCTGAGGCCAACAGCAGCTGCAGCATTGTGTTTTAAGTTCACTTTTACTTGAAAGTGGTCCCAGGTTTGGGGTTGTTATAAAGTGAGTAAGCGTGAGTACAATTCTCTCTCCTATCAGACGGTTTCAAGACTACCCCTTGCTCCATTCATTCATTTACTACTATCTGTGTGACCTGTTTGCTGTAGCTTCAATGGTTTTCACATTAATTAGCTCATTTGTTATCTTATTTGACCCTGAGCTCTTTTGGCCTGTACCCACACTTTACAGATAAGATAGTGAAGCATGAGGATGTTAAATCGATGAGGTGATACTCAAGTGAAATTGCATCCTGAACTTAGATCTTCTGAGTCTTTCTCTACTGAGTTCTTTCCATGATGATATTGTTCTACTGTGGTTATTCAGCAGTACCCACTAACGTTTATCGAATATTCACTATGCGTGTGGTATTTTGCTAACTACTTTATCTCATTTAACTATCAGTCCTGTTTGTTACGTGCAATTGTTATTTCCACATTACATATCATAAAATTGATGTTCAGAAACACCCCCATCCTGACTTGGCTGGTAGTGGCCATTAGATTCGAAACCCAGTCATTCTGATACCAAAGCACAAAACCACTGTTTATCATCTTGACATCCTCATTGCTTTGAAATCAGGAACTTGTGTACATTACAGTTACATGTATATTACAATTGAATTGTGTTATCAAGACTAGTGGTATGGATGGAGATATTTAGGAAATTGCACGAATAAAAATGGATTATTTATGGATTAATTGTCAGTATCTGAGAAATCATCTTGTTTGGGATCGATATTCCAAGAATCAGGCTCAGGGCTTGTGGAATTTTCTTCTGTTCTCCATGCTCAGAATACTACTTCTTCCCGCAAAACCTACTGCTGCTACTCATTCCTCTGCTCTCAGCTTAAAACCCAGCTCTCTCAGAAGTCGAGGTCTCTCATCCCTCCAATATACCCTCAAAGAGTCTCAGTATTAATTGCCTGTTTAATATTTTTTTTTGGACGGAGTCTCGCTCTGTCACCCGGGCTGGAGTGCAGTGGCGTGATCTTGGGTCACTGCAACCTCTGCCTCCCTGGTTCAGGTGATTCCCCTACCTCAGCCTCCCAAGCAACTGGGATTACAGGCGTGAGCCACCGCGCCCAGCCTGTGTAATCACTTTTATCCTCCTGACGTGCAAAAGTCTCTTTCAGTATTCCATCCCCACAATCTGGCAAAATGTGTGTCACTTTTTAGATGCTCATTATTTGTTAAAGGAATTAAAAAATCAATGACTTAAAATTAGCAACAATGAATGCTTTTTCAGAACTTTATGATAGTGTTTGGTAGTGATTCCAAACACTAGGAGAAATGAAGAGTGTCTTTGAGAAACTAGAGTAATTAAGTAAAATAGGTTGGGTGCGGTGGCTCAAGCCTGTAATCCTAGTACTTTGGGAGGCCGACATAGGTGGATCACTTGAAGTCAGGAGTTCGAGACCAGGCTGGCCAACATGGTAAAACCCCATCTCTACTGAAAAAATACAAAAATTAGTGGGTGTGGTGCCATGTGCCTGTAATCCCAGCTACTCGGAGGCTGTGGCACAAGAATCACTTGAACCCGGCAGGCAGAGGTTGCAGTTTGCCAGGATCGCAGTACTGCACTCCAGCCTGGGCTACAGCTCGAGACTCCATCTCAAAAAAAAAAAAAAAATTAAATTCAGTAAAATAATTGGAATCCACTGATAAGTTCACAGATACTGTCTGCCCATGCCCATGACCTGATGGAAATTTAAGAGGGATCCTATTGGAACTTTTGGAGAACCAGAAGAATTAGTGCTGTTGTATTGTTTAGGTGTCTGTAAACTATATTCCATGAGATACATTACTGTTTCATGATATTTAAATTATCTAAAGGCCTTTAATAAAGCATATATTACTAAGGTACTTTGAATAACAATAAAGGAAAATCAAAATGGGCCACATTGTCAGAAAGTGGGGAAAATGCTGGGAATAGAGTGACAAGAGATGAGGCTAAGAAGAGCTGATCTACTAGGAAGGTGTTTGGTGCTGTCTCTGCCCCCATTTCACAGATGAGGGCATGGACAGCACCAAACACCTTCCTAAGGGTGGCAGTGCTCAAGGGCACAAAATATTAAACTGCAAATGTCGAATACCGTCCAGTGAAATGCCAGATGAAAACGTGACACGATGTGCTGTTAGAATTATTTTCTTTAAATACCAACCTCTTTTAGCACATCTGAGCTCTGTGACTGCTTCACTAATAGAACATGTTAGAAATGACACTCTGCCCATTTCCAGGCTCAGGCCTTAAGAAACTGGAAGTTTCTACTTCCTCTCTCTTAGGGTAGTCACCTTTAGAAAGCACCTACTGTGCCCTAGGGCAGCGGTGCCCAAGCCCTGGGCCAGCAGGGGTGGCCTGTTAGGAACCAGGCCACTCAGCAGGAGATAAGCAGTAGGCGAGCGAGCATTACAGCCCGAGCTCCACCTCCTGTCAAATCAGTGGCAGCATGAGATTCTCCTAGGAGCAAGAACTCTATTGTGAACTGTGCATGTGGGGGATCTAGGTTGCACGCTCCTTATGAGAATCTAATGCTTGATGATGTGAGGTGGAACAGTTTTATCCTGAAACCATCCCACTGGGTCCCTGGAAAAACTGTCTTCCGTCAAACCTGTGCATGTTGACAATGACAGACAACTAAAAAGATTGGGGGCCACTGCTCTAGGGCACCCCCTTGTTAAGAAGAACTAAGAACACCAGCCCACTGACCTCAGCTTATATTCAGCATCCACTCGGCCATGCAAAAGAGCCACGTTGAAAAGAAACCATTCAGTCCCACTGAACCATCCGAGCTGACCCCACATAGAGCAGAGTCAAACTTACCCAGCTAACTCTGCCCAGCCTTGTGATCACACTTTTACTAAAATATGACTATATTTTCCAAGAAAAGCATGGACTTCAGTTGTTCTATTACAAAATGAGGGAAGATCCTTGTTTTGATGATTAACAAATCGTTAGATAAAATGGATACTCTTATGAAAATGCATGATGTAATCATCAAGATATACCCAAGTAGTTACATGTGAGAACCCAGTGAATACTTGGGCTTGGGGCCAGGGTTTTGTTGGGAAACAGTTCTGCAGTTACACATGAACAAATTATCAACACATGACCAAGTAATCCATGTGTGGCTCAGAGCTCTATAGAACACAGCATTAACAGATTTTCACTGGAAATCAAGGTTGGCTTGGGACATGTGAAAGCGATTTGTAGACAAACCTGTTTTATACTAATGCAAGGTGATGCCATTGCCATTGCTTTTATTATGATCATAGTCTCTTGGAGACTGGCTGGAATTTACAAAAATCATTTTTGCCTCTCTTGCGTCCTGTATACCATATAAAGTTTTTTCAAATGAGGGATTTTTCATTATTCATATAATATCAAAATCAGAAATGAAAAATATTAATAAGAACTAGATTAGGTGTCTTCTTAAGATCTTCTCTTAATTATTGTTTTCCTTCTAATATTTGTTTTAAACAATTTGTAGAGATAACTTGGCTTACTTAGGAACAATTAATCCTTTCTATTTCTTTCTGCAGAATTAACTTCTGTAAACTTCTATTTCTTTCTGCAGAATTAACCGTAGTGAGCCTTTTAGTTAACTGCTTCTATAATACGTTCTTGCTCTAAGAAATCATAGGGAATAAATTCAAGTTAGAAAGGAATATATACACTCATTAAAGCAAGACATGTTTCTGTTTGTGTAACATATTCTAATCTTGTAAAGTTTAACATGCCAGAATAAACAGAAACTCAGTTTCTGGTTACATCTGGTATTTATTTCTTAATATCTCCTGTATTAGTCAATTTTCACACTGCTGATAAAGACATACCTGAGTCTGGGAACAAAAAGAGGTTTAATTGGACTTACAGTTCCACATGACTGGGGAGGCCTCAGAATCATGGCGTGAGGTGAAAGGCACTTCTTACATGGTGGTGGCAAGAGAAAATGAGGAAGAAGCAAAAGTGGAAACCCCTGATACACCCATCAGATTTCATGAGACTTATTCACTATCATGAGAATAGCACGAGAGAGACCAGCCCCCATGATTCTATTACCTCCTTCTAGGTGCCTCCCACAACACGTGGGAATTCTGGGAGATACAATTCAAGTTGAGATTTGGGTGGGGACACAGCCAAACCATATCATCTCCCAAGCTATAAAATGACTTATTTGAAATTTTAAAAGGAGGACTCCAAGGAAGTGTTCAAATATTCACGTACCTAAACTGAAACATGTGTTTATATTTTTGAAAAATAGCCTGAGTACTTGACAACTAATGTTATATATTGAGTTACCATTTCTGAAACTTTAATTTTATGAAAGCTCCTTCTCCTAATTTGTTAAACGGGGCATGGACAGACATGAAGATGACCCCCACCCCCCCGGCCCAGTGACCTCCCACCACCTCCTGTACATGCTCATGTGAAATTGCTTTCTCTAACCAAGAAAATACAGCAAAAGTGATTTGATTTCCCTGACCGTGCCAATTATGTTATCTAAGACTTCCCCTGACGATATTACTTATGATGGATTCAGTGGAGACTGGAGCAGACCCTCTCCTTGTTGACTTGATGAAGTGAACTGCCAAGGTGAGGAAGCTCACATGGCAAGGAACGGCAGGAGGCCTCCAGCCAACAGGCAGCAGAAAGCCGAGGCCCTTGTAATGACAGCTGCAAGGAAGTTAATTCTGCCAACAGCCTGAGAGAGCTTAGAAGCTAGTTTTGCTGTAATGGAGTCTCCAGGGAAGAGAGCAGCCCAGCCGACATCTTGACTGGGCCTCATGGGACTCTGAGCAGAAGTCACACCAGGCCTGCCCCACAGAAACTGTGAGATCATAAAAGCATGTTGTTTTAAGCAACAAAATTGTGGTTATTTGTTACACAGCAATAGAAAAGAAATGCCAAGTATAATGTCTCATATGATTTCTGAGATAAATGAAGTAATGTACCTGGAAAAACCTGTCGATAATAAAGACTTTAAAAGAAAAACACCTACAAAACTCAGGAAATAACTAAATGAAAAGCAGGTTATCAGCAAAGAGGCCAAAGGAGTATAAAGATATTGACATATATTCTAAAAATGTATGTCCGTACACATTTCTTGTAACAAAATCTTAACTTGGTGGTGTTTTCATAATTAGTAAATGTAGTTACTGATTTCCTACCCACCAGATAGGAAAATGTCCACCATCCTGACATGACGGTGACATCTGTCCGACATCGGCCTCTGAAGGAAAGAGATACAGTTAGCAAGGATTTCACTGTAGTTCATGGTAAAACAGTAAATAAAAAATGCTTATTTATTTGACATGTATTTTTTAAAACTGTGTCTGAAAAGTGAACAAAACAACAAATACTTTTATGATAAATGGACTTTGTTACTTTGTAAACTTGTAGCCTTGGACATATCTCAGCATCTCCAAGCCTCAGTCTCTCCATCTGTAAAAAAGGCTGTGGCACTGCCCACCTTGTTTTGTTTATAGGTCACTAGGGATGAGGTGTACATATGGTATTAACTATGGCTTCTGGCAAGTGGCATATATTCGTTACACCATTGCTCTTTTTAGAAAGCTAAGTCATCATGTGCATGTCGCGTGTAATCTGCTGAAATAAGGATGGACTATAGAACACATTTGGTAAAGATTTTCATCAAAATGATCAATGCTTTTTTAAAAGTTTGGGTTTTATGGTCAACTTCTGTAATTGTAAAAACTCATGAACTCATAAATAAGGTCTTATTCCCTGATGTATTATAAGTAATATTTTACTTTTGTCTTCCAAAAGACTTATTTATCTTCCTATGTCAACATCCTCATGTATGTAAAAGAAAATTCTTGTTGGTTTCTTAGATCATAGAATATTGCTACTGTTTTGTGTGCTCCATTGATTTTTCTATCAAAACAAAGTTAATTTAATTGTAATAATAATGACCATTGGATTTGACAGTGAATATCTTAAAAATTCAAAGTAACAGTGACTTATGTAATGTGAGAGTTCAGTTTTTCTCTCATGTAAAAGTTTAGATAGGTGGTTCAAGGCTGCTGTGGCACTTCATGATGACAGGAACCCAGACTCTTTCTATATTGTTGCTCTACGTTGTATAACCTTGAACTTGTGGTTCAAGATGCACTATGTATATTACAAACAGGAGAGAAAAAAAAATGGATGAAGAAAAGGACAAGTAGAAGTTTCCACAGGACACCTCTGTTATATCCCGTTGGTCATCACTTACATGGCCAGTCAGGCAAGGGAAGCTGGGAGGTAGAGTCATTTTTCCAGGGAGTCATATGCTCAGCTATAAATCAGAAATTCTGTTACCATAAAAGAAGAGAGGAGACAACTGAAAGCTTCTGCCACAACATAAAGACAAATGTCTGTTTCACCTGGATAATGTCATGTGATCTGTATCAGTGATTCAATTAAGTATTTTAAGAATGTCTTAGTTCTTTTTGTGCTGCTATATTAGAATTCCTGGGTCTGAGTAACTTAAAAAGAACAGAAATCTATTTCTCACAATTCTGGATCAAGGCCCCAGCAGGTCAAGGCCTGGTCTCTTTGCTTCTAAGATAGCACCTTGAATTCTATGTGCTCCAGTAGGGAGGAACAGTGTGTCCTCACATGGTCGAAGAGCAGTAGAAAGAGAACCCACTCCTGCAAGCTCCTTTCTTAGGGGTATTGATCCATTCATGCAGGTGGAGCCCTTGTGACTTAAACGCTTTCCATTAGGCCCCCCTCCTAACACTGTTGCATTAGGAACTCAGTTTCCAACACATGAATTTTAGGGGACATATCTAGACCATAGCAAAGAGCATAATATATGTGTTCTAATGAACATATATGTTAGCCACAGCTAATATGTGTTTCCTTAAAAGAGAGAGAGAGAAAATAAAGGATGGCCTTTTAAGGATTTGTGTGATGGTTAGTATTAGGTGTTGACTTGATTCGATTGAAGGATGCCTAGATAGCTGGTAAAGAATTGTTTCCAGGCACAACAGATGCTGGAGAGGATGTGGAGAAATAGGAACACTTTTACAGTGTTAGTGGGAGTGTAAATTAGTTCAACCATTGTGGAAGACAGTGTGGCGATTCCTCAAGGATCTAGAACTAGAAACACCATTTGACCCAGCAATCCCATTACTGGGTATATACCCAAAGGATTATAAATCATGCTACTATCAAGACACATGCACACGTATGTTTATTACAGCACTATTCACAATAGCAAAGACTTGGAACCAACCCAAATGTCCATCAATGATAGACTGGAATAAGAAAATGTGGCACATATACACCATGGAATTCTATGCAGTCATAAAAAAGGATGTGTTCATGTCCTTTGCAGAGACATGGACGAAGCTGGAAACCATCATTCTCAGCAAAATATCACAAGGACAGAAAATCAAACACCGCGTGTTCTCACTCATAGGTGGGAATTGAACAATGAGATGACTTGGACACAGGGCAGGGAACATCACATACTGGGGCCTGCCATGGGGTGGAGGGCTGGGGGAGGGATGGCATTAGGAGAAATACCTGATGTAAATGACGAGTTGATGGGGGAAGCAAACCAACATGTCACCTGTATGCATATGTAACAAACCTGCACGTTGTGCACGTGTACCCTAGAACTTAACATATAATTTTTTTAAAAATTGACCAAAAAAAAAAAAGAAAAAGAAAAGAATTGTTTCAAGGCATGTCTGTGAGGGTGTTGCCAGAGGATATTGAAATTCGAGTCAGTGGACTGGGTGAAGAAGACCCATCCTCAATGTGGGTAGGCACCATCCAGTCTGCTGCCCCCATGGCTAGAACAAAGCAAACCAAAGAAATTGGGATAAACTGGCTTGCTGAGTCTTCTGGCTTCCATCTTTCTTTCATGCTGGATGTTTTCATTCCTCCTGCCCTTGGACATCAGACTCCAGGTTCTTCAGCCTTTGGACTCTTAGATTTACACCAGTGGTTTGCCAGGGGCTCTCAGGTCTTCAGCCACAGACTGAAGCCTGCACTGTTGGCTTCCCTACTTTTGAGGCTTTTGGACTCGGACTGTGCCACTACTGGCTTCTTTCTTCCTCAGCCTGCACACGGCCTATCCTTGGACTTCATCTTGTGATCATGTGAGCCAATTCTCCCTAATAAACTCCCTTTCATATACACATAGATCCTATTAGTTCTGCCCCTCTGAAGAACCCTAATACAATTTGATTCAACCATATTCTGCCAGATTCTTTACCACTGTGGACTTTTCTCTGAGCATACCCATGGTGTATTATTGTAAGAGACTTTTAGGATTTCAAATTGTTTTCTGTGGGGAGGGCCCTTAAGGGCATCACATGGGACAAAGAGAAAAGAGGCCATTAATGAGAATTCTGGGGACTCGTCCTTCTTCTTCAACCACATTGGGTCAGCTTTATTTGTTTTATGTATTTGGTTACTATAGACAATTTCATGTAATGAAAGTACCCTGCTTAAAAGAAAATGTAACTTTGAAAATACAGATTTTTCAGTTTTCATTATTTTACAGATGAGAAAATTAAAGTCTGACTTAATTATTCTTGTGTATTCACTATGTTTAGGTAAAACATTTATCTATTCACAGCAAAGCACATAGATATATGTAGGACACAGTCCTTGACTTTAAGAGTTTTGTAGCCTGATGATGAAGGTTAGTAACCAGTTCAAAGCCCTAGGACTGGTTAGTCTTTTGTGTTGATTGGCAGTGACTTGGATTATCTTATAACAGAAATCACAGACTATTGTTTCCAAAAGCTAAGAGGAAATCACTGAAGGATGGGATAGGAGATTCAGTCTATTATTTTAAATTATAGAACAATTTACACTCTACAAAATGCACTGTGTCAATTCTAAAAGCTTCGACAGTTACATACACTCATGTAACTACTACCCCAACCAAAATGTAGAACATTTCCAGAAAGTTCCCTTATCTCTTTTTCTAGTCAGTACCTCCCCATTCCAAAGATAACCTCTTCTGATTTTTATCACCATAGATTAATCTTTCTTTTTGCTGGATTTCATATAAATGGAATCATATAATACATACTTTTCTATGGCCAGCTCCTTTTGGTAAATATGGTGTTTTGTTTCGAGACTCATCCATGTGGTTGTGTGACTCAGTAGCTCTCTTTTCATTTCTGAGTCTGCCACTATGTGAGACCCCATGGTTTATTCTAGTCACTGTCAAAGGACATTTGCTTGTTTCCAGGTTTGGGTTAACATGAGTAAGGCTGTGATGTTAGATGCTTGTACGAGTCTATGTTGCTCTGTGTGTGTGTGTGTATTTTCATTTTTCTTGGACCAACACCTTGGAGTGAAAGTGCTGAGTCATAGTTTAACTATATGTTTAACGTAATAAGAAATTCCAGGGCTGCGCGCTGCGGCTCTTGCCTGTAATCCCGGAACTACGGGAGGCCAAGGCAGGCGGATCTTTTGAGGTCAGGAGTTGCAGACCAGCCTGGCCAACATGGTGAGACTCTGTCTCTACTAAAAATTCAAAAATTAGCCGGGTGTGGTGGCAAATGCCTGTAATCCTAGCTACTTGGAAGGCTGAAGCAGGAGTATCACTTGAACCTGGGAGGCAGAGTTTGCAGTGAGCGGAGATCGCACCACTGCACTCCAGCCTGAGCGACCGAGTGAAACTCTGTATCAAAAAAAAAAAGAAAGAAATTCCAAAACCGTTTTCAAAGTGGTTGTTTTATATTTCCACCAATGATATATGAGAGCGTTTGTTAATCTTTATCCTCACCGACATTTAGTATTATCATAGTGGCTAAAATGTGAAATCAAGTGAAATTGTATCTTGTGATTTTAACTTGTATTTTCCCTGTTATTAATGATGTTGACCATCGTTTTATATAATTATTGGCCACTTATACGTCTTGTTTTGTGAATAGCCTGTTCAAGGTTTTTGCTTATATTTAACTGGTGTGTTTATGTCTGTATTATTAATGTGTCCTTTATATTAGCTCTTTATAAGCTCTGAGATTACTTATTTTACAATTATATGTATTACTAATATTTTCCCAAGTCTGTGGCTTGCATAGTCATATTTTAGTGTTTTTGATGAGCTCTAATGTTCATTGAAATTCAATTTATACATTCCTTTATGTGGGATTAGAGCCTTCTGTGTCCTTACAAGAAGGAAGTTCTACCTGTTCCAAGGTTATAAAGAAGTTCCCATTTGCTTTCTGTATTGAGTGAGATATTTATATTCAGTTTTTCAAGCAACATTTGCTACAGAGAGCCTCTGTCTCTTATTGAGTTTCCTTGTCAATTGCTCAGTTCATTGTTTTCCTTACCCACTTTATTGAGAATAATTTGTGTAAATAGACTTTCTCTATTTGAAGGGTACAATTTGAGGAGTTCTGACAAGTACATAACAACGTAAAGCCACCAGCACAGTCATGATAAAGAACATTTCCATACCCTCTATATTTGTCTGCTAGGACTGCCATGACAAAATACCCCAGACTGGAAAGCGTAAACAATAGAAATGTATTTTCTCACATTTCTGGCAGCTAGAAGTCGAGATCAACGTGTGTCAGCAGGCTTGGTGTTTTCCAAGGCCCCTGTCCTTGGCTTGCAGATGGCCACCTTCTCCCCATATTTTCACATGGCCTTTCGTCTGCTTTTAAGGACATCAGTCATATTGGATTGGGACTCACCCTAATGACCTCATTTTAACTTAATTTCCTCTGTCAAGACCTATCTCCAAATGCATTCACATTCTGAGGAACTGGGGGTTAGTACTTAAACATAAATTTTGAGGGGATGCAGTTCAGCCCATAACCCCCAAAATAACCCTTATGTGTTTATGTGGCTTGTTCCCACTCTGTGCTCCCAGCCCCAAGCGACCTCTGCATTTCATATACATGGAATCATGCCACATATTCCATGTTTGGCTTCTTTCACTCAGGCTGATTTTGAGAATTGTTAATGTTGTTGCATTTATAGGTAACAGGACACTGCTTATTCTTGAGTGGTCATCCACTGAATAGTCATACTACATCTTGTCTATCCAGTCAGATGAAATATTTCATAGATATGTGGGTGCCCTCCAGTTTACATTTGCTATGAATAAAATTGTTAGGAGCACTTGCCTGCAACATTCTGTGTGGATATATTTTCATTTATCTCACATGACTACCTAAGAGTAGAATAACTGAGTCATATGTTACTTTTATGTTTACTTTAAAAAAAGAATGCCTAGTAGATTTCAGCAGTGACTATACTATTTTCCATTTGCACCAACAGTGTGTATATTCCAGTTGTCTTCCAACTTGCCTGTCTTTTACATGGGCATTTTCAAAAATCTTACTCATTTTAATGGATGTGATTGGTTCATTTGTAATACCATTTTTTTGTAGCTACTATAGAAAGTCTACAAGAAAAGCGATTATTCTCCCTTTTTTATAACTGCAGTCTCAGGGTTTAAGAGCAACAATAAATACTTGGTAAGTGGATGAATATTTTGGTTTAACGAATTTTTTTCGTTCTTTTTCCTGGTTACTATTTAATGATTGCATTTATTATGCTGCTGCTCTAACCACGGCACTGTGCTTGGCTTTGTGACAGTGTAGGATCTTTAAATCAAATGAAGGAAGATGGATGCTCAGAACAGTGTCAGTGTCTACTATATGACAGAGGGCGATACATGCTTTAGAAGAGTTATAAACAGCATGCTGTAGAAAGTGACATGATCCTGGGGAGGGCTGGATAATAGGGAAATTGAGAAAAAGGATAAATTCAGAAACCCACTGGGCCGTGGGTCCAGGTCCCTTGGAAAGGGCTTCTTACTGCTCAGTTTTTACTAAACCAAAAATAACCCTCTTCAGGCAGTTCTATTTTGAGAAATAAGAAATAATACTTGTAACAGTTGCCATTTTTTTAACTCTCTATGTGCCAGCAACTGTGTAAAGGCGTTTGTTGTGTTGCCTTTGCACAGTGTTGTTTGTATTTGTGTTGTTTCATTTAATCTTCATGCACACTCTGTGAAGTAGGTATTTAATTCCTTACTTTTCAGATGAAGAGTACTAAGTTTGGAATGGGTCCATGCAACTAGCTCGGGAACATATAGCTAGTCATTGGTAGAAATGAAATACAACAGGTTTGTGAACTTCAAAGCTCCTTCTTTGTATCATTTTGTTGCAGACACAGATAGAAAAACATCAAGGGAGGACTCAAGCTTCTGGGTACAGCTTTTTCAAGATAGTTTTGCTGTTGTTGTATTATGTCCTTAGTATGATTTACAAAATTATTTTAGTCCCTGACACTTAATTATGTGGCTTAAATGTTTGTGGATTATTCAAGAGAATATTTGAAATCCTTCATATTCGATGACAAGATGAGATAATAGGGTAAGTATAGTTTAAGTAAAATTACTATTAAATAACATTTTTCAAAAACTGTAAATGCCATGGTTTTCTATTAACATTTTGGAAAATAGAATTAGCAATTTATTTTAAGCATCAATGCATATACTCACATATGATGAGCAGATTATAGCATTTATTTAGATAACTCAAGAAAAATAGTTATTTTGTTTTGTCAGTCTGGACTGTGTCTGAATAATATTTGGATATGAAATAGTCAGTTACATACTTCAATTTTCCACTTTTCTGGGCATTGAAAGACATAGCCAAAATGGCTTTCAGATTATGAGTTCTAGAACTTTTGAAAATAAATTTTAAAACCCACATGTTACAGATTTTATCAATGCTTTCCCTCTGTGGGGTCATTTTTCTGTATTTCTGATTTACATGCATCATATAGACGTGTTTAGGTAATATTTGCTTCACGCTTTTCTATAGACAGTAACATTAGTCAGGACCAGTCCTCAAATGCCATCTCTAGTTGTCATTTTCCACTTACTGATGCAAACAATTTGATGAATCCCAGGATTCAATTGCTGCTTCTCTATCACCGTCTTCTCGGAATTCTCAGGTCAACAGCACTAAGGTTTTCATTGTAATTTCTCACTTGAGACCCAGGACATACCTACTCATACAAACATATGCGATTATATGTTAGCCAAAGTGCTGCCACAATATTAAAAATAAAAGAGTACTTTTCAGTATGAGTTTGGAAAATTTAATTTGCTGTAGATCAGGGGTTGGCAAGTTTTTTCTATAAAGGGCCCGACAGTAAACGTGATAGGCTGTGTGGTTCATGAGGTCTGTGTTGCAACAGCTCATTGTAGCATACAAGCAACCATGCTTTATGTGGCTATATGCCAATAAAACTTTATGGACAATGAATTTTAAATTTCTCATAGTTTTCATGTGTCACGAAACATTCTTCTTTTTGTGCTTTTCAACTATTAACAAACATGAAAACATTTCTTAGCACAGAGTCTGTATAAGGTGGGATTTGGCCAGCAGCCCATGGTTTCCTCACCCTGCTAGTGTTGCTAAAATAATTTATATATTTTTCTTGGTTATCGTCATTACTAGGCAAAAAAAAAGAGAACGTTCTCTAAAAACCAGCCAAATTTTTCCTATTAGACTATGTGACATTTTATTCAGATATCTTTCTCTAATTCGGTAGATTTGAGGGATGAAATAGTGGTTTTGCTTCTCTAATTGACGTATTATCATCCATAGCTCCCTTCTACTGCCATGCATTTTTGCAGTCCTTTTTAATCTGAAGACCTTTCTTGCTACTATTTAAAAACTATTAACTATAATTGTTTTGGCCATGCAACTCTTAAAACACTGTGTTCAATGATTAGGCAATTAAAGTTTTATGTTTTCCAAAATTTGACAGGAGCACAGTTAAATCTGCTTTGTAAGGGTATAAATTCACTTGGACAGTTGTTTCTGCTTTCAGGATAGCCATAGCATTCACACTATTAGTGTGAGCAGCTGCATAAACTAACATCTATTTTACTGTGTTAAAGTCCCAGATTCAAAAGAATTCCATTCAGTTTTACTACTTACACCATTGTGTTATGGTTTGAAATCAAGAAGAATGTGTGAATGAGTTTTCTATAATGTCTCTGTAGAACACGAATTTGTCAGATAACATAGTACCTGATGTGGCAATTACGGGAATTGTTCCATAAATATTTTAGTTGCTATTAGGGCAGTAAAAATTTAAATATGAAAAAATAAACATCTGTGATATGCACAGAAAAGTCTCACTGAATTCTAGACTTTGAGGTAAGAAGTCTTACTCTGTGAAGCAAAATATAACTGGGCCCTAATTCCTGCATTTAATTATTGGTGCTACTTCTTTTTTTTTTTTTTTTTTTTCTTGTTGAGGCAGAGTCTCACTCTGTCGCCCAGGCTGGAGTGCAGTGGTGTGATCTCGGCCCACTGCAATCTCTGCCTCCCTGGCTCAAGCGATTCTCCTCCCTCAGCCTCCCAAGTAGCTGAGATTACAGGCACCCGCCACCATGCCCAGCTAATTTTTGTGTTTTATTAAAGACAAGGTTTCACCATGTTGGCCAGGGTGGTCTTGAACTCCTGACCTTAGGTGATCCATCCTCCTCAGCCACCCAAAGTGCTGGGATTCCAGGCATGAGCCACCATGCCCGGCCTATTAGTGCTCCTTCTTGGCTGTTGCCACGTAGGTGTGTTATTGACCATTGCATGTGTCATGAGTCAGTCAGAAAAAACTTCCAGAGAAGAGAAGCAATGTTGTCCCATTTAGTTAATGGTTAACCACAGCGAAATGGATTTCTTTTAAACGCAGGGACTTTTCGGTGCCTCAAGCACAGTGTGGTTCACTGGGAATTGCCACCAGCCACAGTATGAGAGCCAGAGCTTGGCACAGGCATCTGGCCAGAGATCACCTTGTCCCTGGAGGCGAGATGACCTACCATCCCAGGGAGCACGGCTCCTGTTAGAGCTGTCAGTCAGGTTACATCACAAGGCCCGACAATTACCTAATTATCCCCTGACTCGTTTCAGAATGATGTGACAACCTTGCAGGGATACATGCAGATGAAAACCAGGAAAAATTAAATTAGATGAGGAAAGGGATCAAAGGAAAGTAATATGAAGCCAAGGGTAATTTTGGTAAACGAAGTGTGTATTATGATTTATGTAAAATTGCAAGAGCTGGTCCACAAATTTGACTCTAAAGTTTTCCTAATTGTCTAAAAAAGAGAGAAATCTGATTTGTAGTGTCCGTAAAGGTAGAACAAATCACAACCTACAGAGAAACAGACATTAAAACAAACAAAGGGGCAAGATGTGCCCTCTGGGTTCCCCTCAAAGGATTTGCAATTTGCCATGTAATTTGTACATTACATATATATTTAATAATCATAATTAAAATCCTCTGTTGAATATGGGAATTCAATATAATAAAATAGACATGCTAATTTATCCACACTACTCACACTATTAGTATGAATGTTATGACTATCCAGAAAATAGAAACAAATGTCCCAGTGAATCTATGCCATTACAAAGCACGTTTAACTTTGCTCCTGTCATATTTTAGAAAATATAAAACCTAAATTGCCTAATCGTCGTACACAGTGTTCCAGAAGTTGCATGGCTAAAGCAACTATAGTTCAAAGTTTTTGTATAGGAGTAAGAAAGGTCCTCACGTTAAAAAGTGTATTCATTGTAGCAGACTGCATTCTAGCCACATTTATCTCCACTGAATTTCTCACTTTAAGCCAGAAAAATGAGGCTGATGAACGTGATCAAGGTCGTAGGTATCATTTCTTTTCCTCTCTTTTATTTCTATACATTTGTAACTTTTATCGAGTGAATATATGCTCATGTTTAAAAATCAAAGGTGCAGACAACCTTCTAATAAAAACAGCTTGGCAGGTCAGGGAATTCATCAGCACTTTTCTGTTTTCTCTCCAGCCTCACTTCTGCCTTCCAAGTCCTCACATTTCTGTTTTTGCTTTTATATTGTCCAAGCTGAATAACATATATATTTGGTTACATAATCATAATTAACATCCTCTGTTCAGTTTTAACAGTGTTACTCTAAAGTTGAAAATCACATAAGTGCTTCCATTATCGTGAACACAGTGGGATGTGCAAAGAAAATGAAACGGCTTGTTCTTTGTGACTGGTGTGATATTAATGATGAGCCCCGACCCTCCTATGTGCCTGGGAGAACATTGCCTTGATCACCAATCCTATGTCGTCATGTCCTGGGCCCCCAAGACCACCTCCCCCCTCCAGATTCAGTGATTCACCAGGAGAGCCTGCAGGACTTGCTGTCCTGTCACACACATAGCTAAGATTCACTACAACAAAAGGATATGAAGCGAGGGGAAAAGGCCCAGGGGGAGGAGTTTAGAGGAAACCGCAGGCAAGGCTCTGAGTCCTCCCCCAGTGGTCACTCGAGAGGCACTCAGTTGTGACAACGCGTGTGAAGTGTTGTCTGCCAGGAAGCTCAATGGAGAGTCAGTGCCCAGCGATTTTAGTGGGAACTGGTCATGCAGACACCTCTGCCTGGGGCTTATCAAAATTCCAGCCTTGCCGAGGGTGAGAAGATGTTGTGCATAGCCATGGTTTGTGCAGACAGTTCAGGCTCTGCACACCACCCGTAGCAGTAAGGGAATGATGTGGACGCTTCCAAAATTCACATTCCCAGATGCCAGCCAAGGGCCAAGCTTGAAAGCAGGCTTTTCAAACCATCGCAGCTTCAGTCCTGCTAGAACTCTTCTGCAAATTTACCTCCATATTAAGCGGTGGCCTTTGGATTAATGATCGGTGGATCCCAGATGCAGCTCCTTTTGAAGTCTGGGGTAAAGAGCCTCCGTCAAAAGGCTCAGTCTCTTTCAGGTACGGCTCAGGCCTGGAGAACTGCTCTGCGTCCCCGACTTTTCTCTAGAATAGTGCGTGTGTGCATGCATGAGTGTGTGAGTGTATGTAGTATGTGTATGCCTGTGTGCTGTGTGGTATTGTGTGTGTGTGCGTGTGTGCGTGGTGTGTTTATGCATGTGTGGTGTGTCTTGGTGTGCATGTATGTGTTTGGATGTATGTGTGTGGGGTGTGTTAGGCGTGTGGGGTGTGAGGGATACATGTGCACATGTACATATGTGGTGTGTTTATGCATGTGTGGTGTGTTTTGGTGTGCGTGCGTGTGTGGTGTGTCTTGGTGTGCGTGCATGCATGTGGGTATATGTGTGTGGGGTGTGTGAGGTGTGTGGGATGTGTGTGCACGTGTATGTATGTGGTGTGTTTATGCATGTGTGGTGTGTGGCATGCTGTGTGCGTGCATGCCTGTGTGCGTGCATGCCTGAGTGTGTGTGGTATGTGCATGTATATGTGAGTGTGTGGCATGCATGTGTGTGTGCACACATGTAATGGTAAAGGAGGGAGGGAGGGAGCACTCCTGCAGACTGGCAGGGGTGGCTGTGAACCCCTGCCCACCTCCCACGGCATTTTCCTCAGCATCTGCTACAAAGTGCCAGGGCGGCTCTACACTGGTTCCTGAAGCAGAGATGGGCCTTGTGATGACCGATTTAGCTCCTACAACTTAAACACTAGCTGGGTCCAAACGTCGTCGGTAGTAAAATCACCACAGCCTCTGCCCCTGAGTCCTAACCTTCTGCCTTGCACTGGGCAGTGGCCTCATACCACGTCTCCTGGAAGCTCTGTCAATCCCCTCCAGCCCTTGATGCCACCCTCCCTCCTCCTCCTTTCTGTGTCACAGCTGGGGAGACAACCCACCTCTTACTCCGCCCCTCCCGTGGCCACCTCACTGCTCCACCCACGGTGAGGAGGTCCAGGCTGCCACCTGGGGCTTTCCTCAGGCATCTGATCATTTCCTGAACCCTGAGCCCTCACAGACATACAAGCCAACTTTCCAACTTGCATCTCCCCAAGCCACTTTTTCCCATTCTCCCATTTAATTGATAATTAGGTCAGGCACAGAATTTTAGGTTGAAATTGAAGGTATTGCTGCAAGTTAAACATTCTATTTTGATTTTTGTTTCCAAGTAGATGGTCTGAACTTTCTGTTTAGAAGATTTGAGGATCTGGAAATTTGCTGCTCCTGATCCCCTGTGCCCTCTCCCCTATCTGCCTTTTGCTTTTGATTTTTTGTTTCTTTATTTGTTTGTTTTTTGAGATGGAGTCTTGCTATGTCACCCAGACTGGAGTGCAGTGGCACAATCTCGGCTCACTGCCACCTCTGCCTCCTGCATTCAAGCGATTCTCCTACCTTGGCCTCCTGAGTAGTTGTGATTACAGGCGCGTGCCACCACACCCAGCTAATTTTTGTATTTTTAGTACAGACAGGGTTTCGCCATGTTAGTCAGACTGGTCTTGAACTCCTGACCTCAGGTGATCCGCCCCCTTCAACCTCCCAAAGTGCTGGGATTATAGGAATGAGCCACCGTGCACAGCCCGATTTCTTAAAATTTAGTCAAAAAGTTATGAACCAGTTGAATGCTTGTGATGCTTTTTACTGGTTTGCTTTCCAAGAGGAATGCAATAATTGACACTGATATTTCATTTTAAATGATCTTCTCTAATTTAAAAGAAGTGTTGCTTTTATTGAATTTTTATTTCTTTGATGCCTAGGGAAGCTTGCTGCGCACCCCCTCGATGCCAGGCCCTCCTCTAGGTGCTGGGATGCCTCAGGGAACAGAGCAGACCAAGTTGGCTTTTGTGTAGCTGTGGTGACTAGGGACAGACAGCCCTTGCTCTGTGCTGGGCCACTGCATGGTGGGGTTGGGTGGGGATGGTAGTAATAATTATTATGAAGCAAAGGAAGCCTGAAAGGGCAGACACAGAAGTGGAGCAAAGTCAGGGATGGCCTTTCTAGTAAGGTGCATTTAACCTCAGCCGTAGGGGGAGGCTATAAGTGGAAAACGAACAGGTTTGGAGCAAAATGTCAAATATCGTCTTTGTATGTTGATGAACATAGTTTTGACCTAGCACATCCCTTGAAAGGGTCACGGGGACCCCCAGAGTCTGCAGACCACACTTTGAAAATCATTGGACTACACACTAATTTCACTATTATTTTATAACATAAGTGGAAACATGTCTTAAGGAGTACATTTCTATTATAACTCATATAAGCATATATTGTTGTTTTTTCCCAAAGGGTCCATCTTGCTGGGATGATGTTTTAATTCCAAACCGGATGAGTGGTGAATGCCAATCCCCACACTGCCCTGGGACTAGTGCAGTAAGTACCTGGTCACATTCATTCCTCTTATTGCAAGAAAATGATGACATCTTCACTGTTTGCCAGGAAATTAGAGACAAAATGTCAACTGACTGTTCTTCCATCTAATAATGTTTGCCAAAAGTGTTATGATATTTAAATAGGTTAATTACATTCACCAAAATTCCAACCTGTGCCCCTGCCTTTCAGGGTCACTTTCCTAGTGACTTAATCATTTGGGGGGACCGTGTGGAAATGTGCCAATTTAAACTCATTGCAAAGTTATATCCATAGAAGGAAAAGGAGAGGTGAGAAAAGGAGAGCCAGTGCAGAGCCTCCAAAAGAAAAATTACAGAAGCATGAGATTCACCTTCTCTCCTGCTCCAGTGATATTTTATATTTATATTCCCCATCATTCAAAATTGATTTTTTTTTCTGCTTTATCTACTTCTACCTTTCTTTAGTAATTTTCTGACATAGTGGACTATTACAAAATATAGTATGGGTGGCCGGCGATGTAATTGAATTACCATCCTCTGTTCTTTGTAATCCTTTCTCTCTTTGCACATATATGCCATATGTTTCATAGACCGCAGATATTTCCTGAAAGAACCCCTAAGCTCTGAATTTATTTTTAAGTTAATTTTGTTATTATGGTCATGCTTCACATGTATATTGTTGTATTTTTTTAACCTCAAAACTCGCTGGCTCCGTCGTAATCTAACTGTATACATTTCCTGAGTTGTAAATACTGTTATGCTGCCAGCACAAATGTCAGCCTTAGTTCCCAAACTGTCAGAGCCAGCTGGCAGTTAATACCTTCTCTCAGGAACAGAGTCTGTCAACAGCAACAGGTACAGCGTTTGAGCGAGAATCATGAGAGGAGCTTTCTCTTGCCAATCTGCTGGCTGATCGGAAGGATACCAGGATGGCAGTGGGCAACAATAAACAGTCACTCTCCACCAGCCTAGGGCTAGGGACTACGAACAGATTTTTATTCATCCAAATCCTGAAGAAAGATAATGACTTGTATGTCACTCACAGATTTTTGAGGTATCACACAGTCTTGCCAGTTTCCTACCAGGATGAAATTAGAGTGCGTATTTCATAGGGCAGAATTCTTAAGTGTAATTACATACGTTTACATGTATACAAATGTAATATGTATATATTATAGCATACATAATATGTAGATATAATTGCATCTAATAATATAATTATATATACATCTATGTTTCCATATATACATATGTGTTATACATATATACATACATAGAATCTTGCCCCTATAAACTTGTAAGTACAAACCGATGGGTTTATGCTTACAAGTTTTTAGGGTCAACATTCTATGTATGTATATGGTATACATATATACAACATTATGTGTATAATGTTAGAGTTATATCTATAACTCAAACCTGAGTTTGGGGCCAATATTCACTCTTCCTGTGCGGCACAGAAAGTCCTGGGTCTAGAATGTTGTTTAATGTAGTCAGTCATGAGTTGTAGTCCTGGGTACTGGGCTGAGAGTAGCCCAAATCCTCTAGGAGCCCTGTACTTTCAAAGGAGTCCTGAAATAATTTTCTCAGTGTTTCAAGGAACATAAATTAACAATCAGAAAAATCACAACATATATGTGGAAACAAGCCATGGTGAATAAGAGTGAGCAGAATTCAAAACAGTAAAGAACATAGAAATTGAAATCATCAAGGATAGAGTATAAGGATGCTTAATATGTTTAAAAAATAAAAGATTAAAAAAACAAAACAAAACGATTGGAAATATCCAGTCAAATTAAACAAGCACACACACACCTGAAATTCTAGAATTATATATAAATTATAATAATTGACACAAAGTTTACTAAATGGGCTGAACAGCAGATAAGACATAGGTAAAAAGAGAAAATAGAACTTAGATCTGAAATTTGACCTGAAAAAAATTATCCTAAATGCAGCCAGAACATAATAGATTTAAAAAATAAAAGAGAACTTAAAAAACATGGAGGATAGAGTTTGATAATACAGTCATTCCTGTCTACGGCCATACCACCCTGAACGTGCCCGATCTCATCTAATAACACAGTCATTCCTGGTATCTTTGGGGGATTTGTTCTAGGGCAACTTCTGCCCACTTTGGATACCACAGTCCACAAATAAGGGGACTCATAGGCTGTTTGAAGCCATCACAGCTGTCACATAGAGACTTTAAAATCCATGGGACAAGGAAGCCTTGCCCAGAAGCTTCCAGCTGACACCCCTTGGGTCCCCTTGTCCAGATTAGGCCAGTTCTGTGCACAGGACAGTCTGGATTTGCTCCAGGGTAGTGTGGGTGACACTAGAGGCTGCGTTCTTTGATCATGTGGGGGCGGCAGCTGCCCCACCAGGATGGAGAGGAAGGAAGGCTTCTTCCCATCAGCCCTGGGGGTGACAACTCACCCTGGGTTCCAGGGAAGGTCAGAAAGTCCATCATCGCCCCCGAAGGCCTCACAACTCTGTGGCCCTTGGCATGGGTGCTCTGGACATGGGGTTGCATCATGACCGAAGCCTTTCTCACAAAGGCCACGCTCCTGCTCGCCTCTCAGGCAGGAACACATTGTTCCTGAACGAGGATGCGGAGGCGCGTGCACAGCAGCCCTAAGACCATCTCTGATGTGCACTCCCGAGGGTGTACCTGCGGCGGAAAGTCCCCCACGCTGGCTTTGCTCATGAGGCCCGTTAGCCTGTGAAGTTCCGGGTGACAAATGAAGCTTCTTCACACATTACACTCACCGGGCATCTCTCCAGTGTGAGCATTCGGGATGCTTAAGGCCTGAGCGTGGCTGAAGAATCTCGCATAGACGGCCTCTCCTGGGTGTGAATTCTCCGTGCTGAGTGAGTGGGAACTTTCTCAGCCTGGCTTCCCCAACAAATCCCTTCTGCAGTGTGGACTTTGGAATTCTGAAGGAGGCGACAGCTTTGGCTCCAGGTTTCCTCATCTTCCCTGCACTGAAAAGACCTTTCTTTGCATAGGAGATCCTGGTGCCAAATGGGGGGAATTTTGGATGCTTTCTTGTCATTGCAGCACTTGTAGGACGTGTGTGGTTCCTCACACTCCTAACACATATGGGACTTGCCTCGTGAATTTTCTGGCAGTAAATAATGGCTGCTGCTTCTCCAGGCCTTTCCGAACACCATGTGTTTATAGGTTCAGAGCTGGGCCTCCCTGTCTTGGCTGGATTCGAGTCCTTGCTGTTCAGTACCCTGGCTTCTCATCAACTCCAGCTGTGTGGCCACGGTGATTGGGGGGAGGTGGGAGTGGCCTCAAGTCCCAGCGAGGGCTCGAGTTCAAAGGTCTTCAGTGCTCCGCATGGACCACGCTCCTCTGGGCCTGGTAGGAAGCCCCTTCTCCAGGAGAGACAGCCAGTCATGTCCTCAAAGGTCATGGTCCCTGTGCCAAGGTCATTATCTTCCCCGCCCTTATTGGAACCTCAGGCTTGGGACCTCCTGGGAAGCAATTCCTGGACCAGTCACTTGGTCAGTCTAGTCATTGTCAACATTAAACCCTCAAAGTTAGAGGTGAACCTACATTGTCTAGTATAACCATTCAAGGGATAGAACTGAAATACAAAATGCCAAATTGAGAGATGAAAAAAAAAGAGAGGGGGTGAAATATAGGAAAATGGGACAACTTAAGTAGTGCACACAAAAATGGCACAAGTAAAACCTCATGTAACAGAAATGAAAAGAAATGGAAATGCACTAACTGAAATGTGAAAGACAATGACTCTTAGACTGGGTTAAAGGAACAGAATCTGGCTTTATGCAGGTTACAAAAGACATACCTAAAACATGTGAGCAGAAAAACATCGAAAGTAAAAGAATGGAAAGTAATAATCCAGGCAAGTATTAACTCAAGAATGCTGTTGATACCATTTTAATTGCACATAAAATAGATTTTCAGGAGAGGGTGGAAACATTACTAAAAAAGGAGACATGCGAGGTTTTGAGGAAAAATATGTTCAGCATCCCAGGAAAAGGAGACTTTTGAGGTTTTGAGGATTAGAAAGGTTTAGTAACGCAGGAAGATAAAGCAGTTTAAAATGGTATGATCTTAGTAACACGGATTCAAAATGTACTAAGGAAACATTGTCAGAATTAACAAAATATGTGGATAAATTTAACACCATGGTGGGAGAGAGAGTAACACAGCTCTCTGTGGAGTTGAGGGCTCCTGCAGTACAAGCTTAGGAAGGACGCGTCCGATTCGTACCACCAGTGAGCCCACGACATCAGGAGAGAGTCACTCGGCAACTGGAGGATATCAACAACTGGTCGTGTTTTAGGACATTAAGAAATTTAACTATCAATAGCAAAAATATAACTCTAAAAATCTGTTACACGTGGACATTCAAATCACTGAGTCAATGTTAAGATCTAAATGGAAATAAGGGAACAAACAACAATGAAAGGGTACCACATAGCAGATATTTGGAGTGTAGCTAAATTTGTATTTGAACAGGGAATTAAGGATCATAAATACCCAAAGATATTCTTATCAAGGTAGGAAAAGGAAGCATCATATCCAACTATATTTTTTCTTCTGTATTTAATAAACACCAACTAAATGCCTGTTAAGTGAAGGGACTGAAGGTTTGAGCACTAACCATGACAATAGCTAGCTCAAGTTAAGTGTTCAGTGTGAGCTCAACTCTTTCACTCTCTCTTAAAACCATTTTTCTGGATTGCATTTTCACAATGCAGCTAAATATAAACTCTGACTCCTGTATTTTCTAAAGTCAAGGTTTTGACAGTATTTTGGACCCTATATATAATTTATTTTATATATTTTAAGTTTATTAAAATTTTGAATTTCTATCACTTAGACAAAATATCCATGTACTTAGAACTTAAAATAGCAGTGTTCCTAATATATTCTTAATTAATTAATATTTATACCCTTAAAGATAATCTTAGTAGATAGTTTTAAATAGCAGTAAAGTTTACCCTTGGTTTTTAAGAGTACAAATACAAACTTGACCCTAACTCTCCTTTAGACAGAGAAACCTGAACCTAATTCAGCTTTATGCTAATCGCTGTTATTTTAGGAGGGAGCATACTATTAGTTCTTACCTTTTTATAAAAAGAATTCCGGTCAGCTCAAAGGATATATGCTTGAGATTAAAAAGGGGATGAAATCAATTAGGATTTTCTCCGTTAGTGAAATTAACTCAACTTTGGATATGGCATAAGACTTTAGTTATTCTGTGTCGATCTTCATTTTATAATTTACCTATGATACCTTAAACCAAGCTTGTTCAACCCACGGCACCGTATGCAGCCCAGGATAGCTTTGAATGTGGCCCAACACAAATTTGTAAACTCTCTTATGAGATTTTTTTTTTTTTTTTAGTTCATCAGCTATTTTTGGTGCTAGTGTATTATATGTGTGGCCCAAGACAATTATTCTTCTTCCTATGTGGCCCAGGGAAGCCAAAAGATTGGACACACTGGCCTTAAAAACTTAAAACAATAATTTGTGTTTGTATGTGTACTGGGGGATGTGTGTTTCTCTTACTTGGGCACACATAGGCTAAGGAAAACCCTGAAGTCCTAGTGCCTGAGCATTATTTCTGAGTTCCGAATCCTAACTCGTAACACTGAGGTCCACTGTCATCCAACGCTCCCCTCCGAGACCTGTGGTTTCAGTGGTGCTTTTCTGGTAATGAGGTGCCCCTTAGCCAACTGCAAGAACCTTGCCTGTTCCCTCACACCTGACAGTCACACAGTAGGGTTTAGGATGGGGGTATTTACTCAAATAAAAAAGAAAGAAAATTTAAGTGATCTCTTTAAAGTAATAAATGACCAAGGTCATTTTAAAGAAATTCTTATTGAGGGGTGTTGATTTCCTATTACACAAGCTATAATATTTTTTATATATCATCTATTTTTGAGAGGCAGAATTTACCTGAAGTGTTATGTAAAATAACATTTTCTTTTTTAGATTATTTGATTTTGACTGGAGTTCAACTCTTATACATCAAACATTTTTTTTCTTATCAGAACAAGTAGCGTAACACCTCTTACAATAACTCCAAGATTTATTTCAAATGAAATTAGATACTTAAAACTATCCCCTGAACTATAATAAATAATGTAACTATTAAACTCAGTATAATAAATAGAGTGTTTTCATCTTACTCAACATGCAATCTATTTTTCACACTTTCCCCCTCTTAGGCTCAGTATATGCCAACTGGAACGTTAGTTTGAATGAAAGTTAATATTCATGGTCTGCACCTCTGATTTCATGTTGTTGAGAGATGTTGACTGAAACAAAATTAATAGCAAATAAGTCTCCTAATACTGAGCAATTGTGATTTATGTCAGAAGTCATTTCCGTATTTTATGTCCAAAAAGTTTCTTAATAATGTTTTAGTTTGATCAAATTACTATCCTCCAAGGAATCTGTATTTCTTTTGTCTGTTTTTATTGTTGTTTTAGACTTCATTAGAATCACAGAAAATGAGACTCAGAATTTCTCAGGATGGTTTCATGTGTGAACTGTATGTTTTGGGTTTTTTTTTTTCTGGTGTCTAATAACAATAAAAGGTTGGTTTGCTTTTGTTTTTAAGAAATGCTCTTGGATTGAAAAGTGTCCCTGAGATAGTCACAAATGACGGTCTTCATTTGCACAGCATGAGAGCCGTGGGCTCCATATTCTTGTGTTGCCCATGCTCGTCTGCACTGTACAATAACTATCAGCACAAGCATCTCCAAATATATATTTAAGCAATTCCAGCCTTTGTGGCTTTGAGGGGTCCCACTGTGGTCAAAGAGCAGCTGGACACTTAAATGTAGAGAGTGGAAAATGAAAACAGAGGTAAAGGACAAATGGACTCATTCACTCCCCTTTTCCTTCTGCCCTGGTGTTTGGCTGAAGAGAAATGCTCTGCCTGCCCTTACGTTGGTCCCCACAGTCATGTTTTCTTAATTCTAAACAAAATTGAATTGTGAAAACTTTGAAGTCAAACTCAGATTATGATTGAATGGTGTCTAAGCGTGACAAAGTGTTCTCTGTTGTCTGACATGCAATTTGGGGTGACAAACTAGAAAGTTTTCTTAGAACATTTTTCAAAAACCCAATCCAGCATTCAGACTCAAGGACAGCTTATTTCTAAACCAAGTTTTGAATACTTGATAACAAAAAATTTCTTGTTTTTTTTTTTAATTGTTAAGGTTAAAATTAGAAGATAGATTTTTATTACAGAATTAGCTTAAATTTTGCAAATTTGAATCAAAATTTCGTTTGTATATGAAAACGCATTAGTTTCCCATGGAAAAAAGTGTCAATGATGGTATGAACCCTAAGCTTAATTTAATTCTCCTTTTTCTGTGAGATAACCATGACATAACTTCTTTTTCATCAGGGCTCTTTTATAACCTGGTGGAAAATTGAATTAACAGCCATCTTCTTCATGGTAGTGTTAAAGATTCCTTGTAAACTGCTACATGAAAAAATAATCTCCAGAGGAAGAAAACCAGGTGCCAGAACCAGTGCGGCTGTAGCAGAGAATCTGCACGTGTGAAATAACAGTGTTCACACTGCTATCACAGAACATGACCTTGGTTTAGTCTATGACGCCATCTTTCCAGCAATATGCAGCTTCCAAAATACATACTTCTTGCTTCCCTGTTCTAGGAAACTCCTAGTCAAGGTGAATGTCAGCTGTTTTTTACACTTGATGATCTGCGATCTTCTGTTCTATAGTTTGTATCGCACTTTATGTGCAGTAGAACAAAATCATGCATATTACTACAACATATTCAAATATGAGGAATTTTATACCGGTTTATAAACCCCAGAGGCTTCAAAAGTCTTACTTCGTTTTTTGCCTTTCCATAGAATGATTCAAAAGCCAAACGTGTCAGTCCGAGGCTGTGTTGATGGTTGCATTGCAGGTTTAGACAAAGGCCCTGAAAACAAAGAAACAACAAAGCACTTTATCACAATTACTCAGAAAGAGGTGTGCTTCTAGACCACTAGGTTTTAGATTAGGAGAGAGTACATATCGATCTACTGGAAAAGATAGTAATAGATACAAAAAAGATAATTTCAAATAGATTTATAAATGAGATTCTGAGAACTAGAGCAAAGAAAGATTAAATACCGCTGTAAGCTTTCCCAAATGTTTCAATCGAGATGGTACATTAGACCCAAATGGAAATATCAAGGATTAGAGATGGGAGGTCACTCTGAGATAGCCTCAGTGCAGATACACAGGAGCCTAATGGAGTGAGAAGAATAGAAGGAAGACGTGAGAGTAATGGGCCAAGAGATTGAGGCCTGCTTCTCGGCCGGGAAACAGCCCTCCTAGTCCTTCCAGCAGGTGATTGATGGCTCCCAGGGACCCGCACTTCATCATGCCTTGATGGCGGTCATTAAGGAGCTATCATCTGTCTTACTCAGGTCAAGCTAGCTCTCAAAAAGTTATCAAGAGCCACAGTAAAATTTAGTTTTTAAGATATATGTGGCAAAAATCCCTTAAAGCCAGTTTACCAAACTTGAGATTTAGAATGGAAATTATAAGCATATGGAGAATCAAATCACAACTGAGACGATGTCACGTACTGTTGACCCACATGTGGTGAAACACTCCCTTCCACTAATGTTTCTTGGAGAAAGGAACATAGTTTGGGATCTTCGGATCATCTGAGCTTCCTCAAGTAGGCAGTCATCATTCCCCTTAATACTCAGGGTTTGGGAAAATAACTTCAGTGGTGATCATCTTACGCAAGTATTATTTACAAGGTACAGAGAAAATGTTTATGTTTCAAGAGTGGAAAAGCAAAAGATCGTTTTTAAAATTTGCATCTTTCCATTGAAAGAAATGTAGATAACTTTTATAACACATTGATTTGTTGTGCTAGTCACTATGCAGAAAACAAAGACTGACTTTCAGGATGTAGGAATCTAGCCGAGTAGAGAAGACTTCACAAAAATGGCTGCAATTCAGATTCCGCAGAGCAAGTAAAAAGCTTACCAAGCATCTCTTCTGTGCCAAGCACTAAGATAGAAAAACGAGTATTGAATTCACTGCTTTCATAGTTTGGGAAAAATTGGGGATGGAGTGAGACGTGTAGGCAAACGATGATTTTTATGCCATGACCTAAATGCTAATAAGATTGGATGTGAAGGACCATGCAAGGACTTCCCTCTGTGAATAGGGCAGAGGAAATAACACAAGTTAGTATATCATGAGTGATGTGAAACACGCATAGAAAGTGCTTATGGAGTTCAGAAAACACAAAGGTGATCAAAGAGGACTTCATGGAGGTGAGGCCCAAGGGAAGAGTGGTGGGATTTTCACAGGTGGTGATGTTGGCATGGTTGGGAACATTTTGTGAGGTACAGGAAATGACAGGAATAAAGGAATAGAAAATTAAGGTTCATGCATTCCGTAATCCTACTGGCCACTTGCTCTGTGCCAGACTGCCCACTCAGCTCCAGTGTATAAAATCAACATTCCCTGCTTTGATGGAGCTCTATCCAGTCCTCATGACTTTGAACTTGTCAAGAAGGAAGATGAGATAGAAAAGCAGAGGATGTTAAGAGGACATGAAACAGGGCGGCTGCCTGGAATCTACGCTGGGAAATTAGACGTTGAGCTGAAATGCAGAGGCTGAGCTAGACTTGATGACTAGGGGTTGAGGACATGCCTAGCAGGGAGGAGCTCCTGCAGGAGCCCCGTGGCAGCAGGGAACTGCTCTGGGAAGCACCTGGGAGGTGGTGATGGCTGAGAAACAGGAGGTGGTGCATTACTTCCTTTTCGTTTGTTCGTTCCTGTAGAAGTTCATTAGCGTAATAGGCGTAATCTCAGCATGTTGAAGTTTAGGTGTTTCAAAGGCTGAGACAGCAGTTGCGAAGTCTGTAGTATGGTTGTGGTGGAGTGATGGCATAAGGAACAAAAAGAGTAAAAGAGAATCTTGAAGGGAACAAAAACAAAAGATTATTTTGTACAATTTTTTCTGCCTTCCTTGAATCCCTGGCAAAGTGTGAATAAAGGTAAATTAGAATTGGCATTTTTGTCTTCCCTAAAACTCAGAACACAACATACAAATGAGATGTTCGTTTAGAACTGGGTAGAAGTGCCACTCTTTTCTTGTATTTATTGGGTTATTAAGATCAGCCATCTGGTGGTCTTCTGTCTTGACTGTTCGTGTTTCTCCAGGGTGTTCCTCAGTGGGAATCTGCTTAGTGGTTGACTGAAATTCTATCTTTATCAGCAACTCTGTTATCTATAATCGCTAGAAATGGATGATCCAGTATGAAGATTTTCCTGCCTTTCTCTTCCTGCTGCTTCCTTCTTGTCAATCTTCCTAGAAAACTGAGGACCCTTTTCTGTTGCCGTTACCTTTTCAAAATATTAGAGGGGAGACAAAATGGGTTACTATGTAAAGTGAACTTTGAGACTATCTGAGACTTCATCCTTTCCAAAGGACAATTGAGTCAATAGCAACTACATGCTGGACAGTTTGAGAAACTGGATTGAGAGTTTGGGATTCTGTCTGTAACTCCTTCTCCTTCTATGTCCATGGCCATTGGCCTCTGTTCATCTCCATTTGTCCATTTGTGAAGCAAGACTGCACATCAGTGAATTTTGAAATTTCACTGATCATTTATGCAGACACAGGATTCAATGAAGCTTCCTTGGCTTTCAAAACTGAAGGATGTTCTGTTGGGTTTATCTAACTGTGTATATATGGAGATTTTTCTTATTCAAAAACCTTATTCAAAAACATCTATATTTTTCTGGATCCCAGCATTGTGATTTTTTCCTCAGGGTTATTGATATGGTTTGGCTATATCCCCACCCAAATCTCAGCTTGAATTGTGTCTCCCAAAATTCCCATGTGTTGCTGGAGGGACCCAGAAGGAGGTCATTGAATCATGTTGGCTGGTCTTTCCCATGCTATTCTCATGACAGTGAATAAGTCTCACGAGATCTGATGGGTTTATCAGGGGTTTCTGCTTTTGCTTCTTCCTCATTTTTCTCTTGCCACTGCCATGTAAGAAGTGCTTTTCACCTCCCGCCATGATTATGAGGCCTCCCCAGTCATGTGGAACTGTAAGTCCAATGAAGCCTCTTTTTCTTCCTGTTTTTGGGTATGTCTTTTTCAGCAGCATGCAAATGGACTAATGTAGTTATCTAACTTACTAATTTCTTACCTGCCTTATAAAAATGAACTATTTTAACAATCAAAGAACCATTTCTCCATGTGCTTCTACCATTTTATTAAAACTTATACTGATGTTCACAAGAATTATAAGTGCCATTAAGTAATTTTATATTAAGCAATTAAAACTCATATTACCTAGCACAATGTACAATATATGAAGACACTTTAGAGAATCAATTCTAATTTGGTATTTAATAGTGAGTAGTATTAATTATTATAAGGCCTGCATTTAAATGTGGATATTTTATTGATAGAACAATGAAAATATTTTAAATGCATTCAATGCTTAAAAGGGCTATGGTTCAGCCAGGCACAGTGGACCATGCCTATAACCCCACCATTTTGGGAGGCCAAGGCAGTAGTATTGTTTGAGCCCAGGAGTTTGAGACCAGCCTAGGCAACATTATGAGACCCCATCTCTATGAAAAATAAAAAAAAAAAATTAGCTGGGTACATGCCTGTAATCTCAGCTATTTGGGAGGCTGAGGTGGGAGGATTGCTTTAGCCCCGGAGGTGGAGTTTGCAGTGGGCTGAGATTGGCCACTGCACTCCAGCCTGGGTAACAGAGCAAGACTGTGTCTCATAAATAAGGACTATGGTTCAGTCATGAACCATAGTCAGTGCATTTTTCTCCATTTATGTTTGCTTTTATTTCAATAAAATAAATGTTTGTTTCATTTATGTTATTATAATTCTTGTGAACATCTTGTGAATGTATTCTCCATTTATATTTGCTTTTATTTGAATGAATTTATTTCATTCAAATAAAAGCAAATATAAATGGAGAAGAATGCATTGATGCATTGTGAGGTTCATTACAGCTGAGTAATTATGGCCTATGGCTCCATGAGAACTAAATCACAAAACTAGAAATGTAAACTATACTGCATGGGAGTGAAGCTTGAGAGCCTTCTCAGCAAGGCCTTGTGTTTCCTCCTAGGGAACATGCAGGATCAATAGAACTGTTCTAAACAAGTGGCCACTCTAGGATAGGATATGTCAGCCACACGTACGGGACTAAATGCACACTGTAACTGACAGATCCCAAGAAAGCAAATAATAGAAAGGTTACCCAAACCAGAAGATACTTAGGAGTCTACAAAGTCACAATTGTTACAATTTAGGGGCTATAATCCATTAATACTGGTTATCATGCACTGTTTAAATTGTGGTTCCTTAGAAGCCATGCAATGATATACTGAGAACTATGGGTTAGTCTGATTTCACCGCATTTTCTTCCCAGTGATCACAACTGGAGTACCTCCTGCAAATTCTGTCACAGATACGACAGGTGGACCTCAAAAAACAAAGCAAAGCTAAACTAAACCACAGTAACAACCTAAACCCTTTGAAATGGTGAGAACCAATCTCTGTTTAGAAAGAGAGAGAGGTGGGGGAATGGGTGGGGCCTGGAGGCATTTGGAGCTTTAAGAGGAGCTGAAGAAATGGAATGTCTTTACTCTCTCCATCAAATAGTGCTTTGTGGCTAAAGACATGTTGAAGAGAATGGCCACCAAGTGGTAAGAATTGCCATGAGTCCAAATGTTTACAGGTTCAGGAACTAAATTTTAGCAACTCAGTTCTTAAAGAGACGAACTCATGAGCTATCTAATACACAGTAGACTATGAACCATGATGTTCATTTATTGGTTTATACTCTGGGAACAGCTCCAATTCCATGGTATTCATTTTTATTTTTTATTTTTTTGAGACAGAGTCTCACTCTGTCACCTAGGCTGGAGGGCAGTGGTGCGATCTCAGCTGGTCGCAACCCCTGCCTCCTAGGTTCAAGTGATTCTCCTGCCTCAGCCTCCCGAGTAGCTGGGACTACAGGCGCATACCATCATGCTGGGTTAATTTTTGTATTTTTAGTAGAGATGGGATTTCACCATGTTGGCCAGGCTGGTCTTGAACTCCTGACCTCAGGTGATCTACCCACCTCGGCTTCCCAACGTTCCATGGTATTCATATCTTCCCTCTCAGCTGCATGACTTTCCCTCCTGCCCTCCACTCTGTCCCTGTCTGATTCTTGTTGTTTTTCTTCCTCACTACTGTTCTCCTTGGGCAGCTCCCCACTAACTTGACCTCCCTCAATGTTACCAAGCTATTCATCCTTGCGTGGTTCTTTAAAAATATGTCTGCAGGTTCATAAATACATCAAAAATGTGGTTCTAGGCCAGGCATGGTGGCTCACCCCTGTAATCCCAGCACTTTGAGAGGCCGAGGTGGGTGGCACCTGAGGTCAGGAGTTCAAGACCAGCCTGGCCAACATGGTGAAACCCCGTCTCTACAAAAAAATACAAAAAAAAAAAAAAAAAAATAGCCGGGCATGGTGGTGGGCGCCTGTATATCCCAGTTACTTGGGAGTCTGAGGCACAAGAATCGCTTGAACCTGAGAGGCAGAGG